>NW_012132914.1:300000-467143 GCF_000001405.40 Homo sapiens | reverse complement strand
GAATTCATCTTCAGAAGTGATAGCATTTCCTGCTTGGCATTTTTTGCCTACATTTTTGGCATAAGATCTATCAACAAAAAGTATGAACCCAGGTTTGTGTAATGGAATATCTTAAACATCAATAGGAGGAGTCAATAGTTCTGATGCCACACACACACATGTATGGTCTTCTCCATCATCAGAAAATGGCAACAAAGTGGTAGAGTTATGCAGAGTGTAGCATTTGAAATGGAGATTTGAAGGTGACAAGGAAAGGATTTTGTAAGACATTAGTGTACAAGTTGAGCAATGTTGGTTCCTGTCACAATATTTTTATTGATTTATTTATTTTATTCATTTATTTTTTGAGATGGAGTCTCGCTCCGTCACCAGGCTGGAATGCAGTGGCACGATCTCAGCTCACTTCGACCTCTGCCTCCCCGGTTCAAGCAATTTTCCTGCCTTAGCCTCCTAAATAGCCGGGACTACAGGTGCATGCCACTACACCTGGCTAATTTTTTGTATTTTTAGTAAAGACGGGGTTTCACCATGTTAACTAGGATGGTCTCAATCTCCTGACTTCGTGGTCTGTCTGCCTTGGCCTCCCAAAGTGCTGGGATTACAGGCCTCAGCCACCATGCCTGGTCGGTTCACATCAAAATTTAAGAGGTATTCAATTGCATATGAAACTTGTAGGCAAAGTTTATTTCTTTTTTCTTTAAAGCATTAATTAATTTATTTATTTATAATGTATTTATTTATTAATTTTTTTTTGAGATGGAGTTTCACTCTTGTTTTCCAGGCTGGAGTGCAATGGTGCGATCTCAGCTCACTGCAACTTCTGCCTCCCGGTTCAAGTGATTCTCCTGCCTCAGTCTTCCAGTTAGCTGGAATTACAGGCACAGGCCACCACACACAGCTAGTTTTTGTATTTTTAGTAGAGACAGAGTTTCACTATGTTGCCCAGGCTGGTCTGGAACTCCTGACCACAGGTGATGCACCCACCTCGGCCTCTGAAAGTGCTGAGATTACAGGCATGAACCACCGTGCCCGGCCTAAACTCATCACTTTTAATACTTTCTACATCACATGAGGAAGAAGAGCAGAAACACTTGAGTACTTCATGAAAGTCAAGGTTGGTATGAGTTTGGGTTCTAATATGATCAATTTCTGCTTCTAGGGAACCAAGCAGTTCAGGTTAAGGAAGGTCAGGAAACTCTAGGGTTTTCTCTCCCTCCAAAGAAAGCTTTACGCATCAACTTAACGGAGAAAGCAAATCTCATCCCCATGTTGTCACTTAATAAAAAGCCATACTTTCCTAAAAATGGTCCAAATGTCATTTGGACTGCTTCAAACACAGGAATTTTCTGAACTTCATGTGAAACCCCTCCTCAGAAATATTTTCCTTTCTCCAAGGGATTTGCTGATATATTGGCTGTACACTGGATATGGCAGCCCTGGTTTCCACCAATTCTGTACCTAAGTCTGCAATGATCTTAATCTCACCTTCTCCATTTTTATTTAAGGCTATTATAGAAAACAATTTACCAGAGAGTTATTTTAAATTCCATCAATATGGAGACATCAGAAATGTCCTCTAGCTGGATGTGGTGGCTCCTGCCTGTAATCCCAGCACTTTGGGAGGCTGAGGTGGTGGAATAACCTGAGGTTGGGAGTTCGAGACCAGCCTAACCAACATGGAGAAACCCTGTCTCTACTAAAAACACAAAATTAGCCAGCTGTGGTGGTGCATGAATGTAATCCCAGCTACTTGGGAGGCTGAGGCAAGAGAATCGCTTGAACTCGGGAGGTGGAGGTTGCAGTGAGCTGAGATCCCACCATTGCACTCCAGCCTGGGCAACAATAGTGAAACTCTACCTTAAAAAAAAAAAAAAAGGCAGAAAAGTAAAGAAAAACAAAAAAGAAATGTCCTCTAATGTGAACAACCTCTGGGACAAAAGCATTCTGTCCAATAGAGACCTGGTGCATAGGTGGACAATTTTCATTCCAATGGCCTGTTTCAAGGGTGGCAGGCAACTCTAGCAGGGTTTCTGTGTTTACACCAAACTGGATTTGAGTTTTAATAGTAAGGGGATCTCCCCCATAAAAAACCAACAGAAAATAATGGATGCTATGAAGAATATGGAGAAATGAGAACCCTGGTACAACATTGGTAGTTATGTAAATTAGTACAGCTACTAAGGAAGGCAGCATGGAGTTTCCTCCAAAAAATAAAAATAGGATTACCATATAAACCATAAATCCCACTGCTGGATATATATCCAGAAAAAAAAAAGAAATATATCCAGGAGATATCTACACTACCATGTTGGTCAGGCTGGTCTCGAACTCCTGACCTCAAGTAATCCACCTGCCTCAGCCTCCCAAAATTCTGGGATTACAGGCATGAGCCACTGCACTCAGCTTGCACTCTCCTATTTATTGTAGCACTATCCACAATAGCCAAAATTTGGAATCAACATAAGTGTCCATCAACAGATGAATGGATCAAGAAAATGTGGTAAATATACACAACAGAATATCATTGAGCTGTAAACATGAAGGAAATCCTGTCATCTGCGACAACATGGATGGAACTGGAGGGCGTTATGTTGAGTGAAGTAAGCCAGATACAGAAAGACAAACATGGCATGTTTGCACTCATATTTGGGAATTAAAAAACACGAAACTTAAAAATAGTAAAATGACGGTTATCAGAAGCTAGGAAGGGTACTGGGAAATAGAGAATAAGAAGGGGATGGTTAATGGGAACAAAAACACAGACAGGAATAAGATCTAGGGTTCAGTAGCACAATAGGGCAACTCGTGTTGACAATAGTTCATAGTAAATTTCTACATAATTAAAACAATGGAATTGGAATGTTGCTAACACAAAGAAATGATAAATTCTTGAGATGGTGGCTATTCCTGTTACCATGATTTGAACATTACACATTTTATGCTTATATCAGAATTTCAGGCCAGGTGCAGTGACTAATGTCTACAATCTGAGCACTTTGGGAGGCTGAGGCGGATGGTTTGCCTGAAGTCAGGAGTTCAAGACCAGCCTGGTCAACATGGTGAAACCCCCGTTTCTACAAAAAATACAAAAAATAGCCAGGCATGGTGGCGGGTCCCTGTAGTTCCAGCTACTCAGGAGGCTGAGGCAGGAGAATTGCTTGAACCCAGGAGGCAGATTTCTAGAGACTTCTGATGTATAAATGTCTAAAACAGGTTGATCAATCATGGAAGACACCAGAAAGTTTCCATTCAGGTTCCATTTATTTTTGACATTTTTAAATAACCATCCTTGCAGGGGTAAGTCCTGCATCACTCTAGAACTTCAGGTTCCATTTCTAAGTCTAGGACACAGGTCCCTGAAGGCCTCATTGATGCCAAGTCAGCATTTTTACCCAGTCCTGCCCCTGGCTGAGTCACCTTTGTTTTTCCACTCACAGTGAGCACGTGCCTCAAATACGTGGCTGTGTGCTTCCTTTAAGAAGCGGGTGACCGGGCCCTGCTGCTCACACCTGTAAACCTGGCACTGTGGAAGGCCAAGGTGGTCAGATCACTTGAGGTCAGGAGTTTGAGGTCAGCCTTCGCCAACATCGTGAAGCCCTGTCTCTACTAAAAATACAAAAATTAGCCAGGCGTGGGGGCATACACCCACAACACCAGCTACTTGGGAGGCTGAGGCAGGGGAATCACTTGAACCCAGGAGGTGGTGCTTGCAGTGAGCTGAGATTGTGCCACTGCACTTCATCCTGAGGGACACAGTGAGACTCTGTCTCAAAAAATAAAATAAAATAAAATAAAAATAAAATAAAATAAAAAATATAAAAAATAAAATAAAATTTTAAAAAATGCACCCATGTACAATATTTTAGTTCCCAAGTGTCCAGAAAAAAGCTTATCCATCCCACGAACCAGGCCTTCCCTAGGAGCAAAGATGGAAGTCCACTTTCTCAGATGGCCATGAGCCACAGGTAGGGCAAGGGACGGGACCAAAGAAGATCCTCTTGGGCTGCCTGACTTCCCTGAGTGTACGCATCAGCTCAGCCCGAATTGGGGTGAGGATCTCCCAATTGACATGACCCTTGTAGTCAAGACTCTCCAGAGGGGCAGGATACAACTCCAGGCCTAACTTGCTCAGCCCACGTGTGTGACGCAGCAGGTCTTTCAGAGCATTCATGGAGGTCTCATTTCCATGAAAGTTGAAGGTGGTGAGCTGGGAACAGTGGCTCAGGGCAGGCAGGAGGACCCTGAGTTGGGGGTCCTGGATCCGACAGTCCTTTAAGACGAGGGTCTTGAGAGTAGCAGCAACTTTCTCTAGCAGAGCTCCAAGGGGCTGAAGATTGGTGGTCCACATTAGGATATGAATCAGACGCAGCTCCTTTAGCTGACTGAGGCTTGGGTACTGAGACAGACACTCCATGTCCCGATCAGCTAGGTAAGCATCACTGAATATAAAGGCCCCCAAGGGGTTCTTGAGGTACCTGGGGAGAGCAAGAAGTTAGTTATGGGCAATGGTGCCAGTTAGAGGAGGGGGGTGGGAAATCATCTCAATGGTAAACTTGAAGTGGGCATTGAGTAATTCTGCACCTTACTACCACACAGGTGTTATAGTAACTGCAATGGGGAAGCCTGTTTCACCCAAACACAAGTTTGTTCCCATCATCAGATGATGGTCTGCATGCAAGGTGCTGCCTGATGAAGACTCAGATCATTCAGGGGCCACTCCATTTTAGGCTCAGTCCTTTCACCCTTGCCTGTGTGATTGGTACCACTCTCACACCTAGTCCCTCACCCTCCATCCCAGAAGCATGCACTTCTGATATCAATTATCTTTCCTGGAGTTCAAAACAACGTTTTACAGACAGGGAATTAGAGCAGTTTGCTAAGCTGCTGAAGACAGAGCTGCTACTGTGGAATGCACAGGTTTGATGTACTTTCTCTTTTTTTTTTTTTGAGACAGTCTCACATTGTAACCTAGGCTGGAGTGTAGTGGCACCGACTCAGCTCACTGCAGCCTCCACTTCCCTTGCCTCAGTCTCCCAAGCAGCTGGGATTACAGGTGCCTGTCTGCATGCCCGGTGACATTTTTTTTTTGTATTTTTATTAGAGACGGGGATTCACTGTGTTGGCCAGACTGGTCTCAAATTCCTGACCTCATGATCTCCCTGCCTTGGCCTCCCGAAGTGCTGGGATTACAGGCATGAGACACCACAACCGGCCACACCTTCCCTTCTTTCATACCATCCTCTGTATGAAGAATGTGTTTTCATCATATTAACTTTATACACTGTTCCTCACAAGGAGTTCACAAATGCACCCTCACTAGATCTGAACCCTCAACTAACCGGCTCCCTACACACCTCTCTCTGTGGCATCTACCCCAGGCCATCCCTCTGCCCTTATTTGAGTGGTCTTGTGATACCCACTTCAGGATATAGAGCACTGAAGAGCATAATGAGTTGACATTCTAGCGTCCCATTCCCTATGACATCACCGGTGGCTGGCACACAGTAGATGCCCACTAACATTTACTGTGAAAAAGAACATAAGTCTGTGGTATGGTCTGCAGAGAAAGCTCACCATCATTTCTTACCTGAGCAGGTGCTCCAGGTGCTCTTTGATATTACTGATCTTTTTTATATAAAGCATCTGGGGGTAGTACAGGCAGAGGAATGGAGAGTCCAAGTCAGGAATGCACGGCCACTGGACGCTCACGTACAACTCACGCTCATAACCGAAGGCTAAAAAGAGTTCACGAAGATTGCTCATCTGGCTCAGGTAAGGGGCAAACTTTCCCGTTTTATTGAGAGAGCACTTTTTCCAGACTTCCAACTCCTGGATACTGTCTGGGTATATCCTTTCCAATAGATTTCTGAAACTTGAAGTGGGCATTGAGTAATTCTGCACCTTACTACAACACAGGTGCACTAGGCCTCTTCTGTAGTGGATCCACCCAAAAAGGTAGCTCAGGCATTCATCCAGTGTACTTTCCTTTAGGCAGAGGTCTATGAACACCTTCAAGGGCTGGTGCTCTCCCATCCTTGGACAGTCCTCCACTGTCTGCCTCTTACTCATGGCCTCTGGGGAGCAGGAGAGGACCCTGGCTCCAGACCATATGGTCCAGAAATTCTCATCAACATCCTGCAAATCCAGCACTTGAAGTTTCCACCTCCTATGAGTAACATAGGGGAAAAGCTCAGAATGTAGGCAAGGACCCACCCCTGACCTGAGCTTTCACTCCACATCCAGGACATCAGTCAGCTGCTCCTGTCCTCAGTGCTCCTCCTTCTGTCTCTTCTCCATCCTGCTCCCTCTTGGATTCTGCCTGGTACCCACTTCTAGTACCTTTACTTTCTGCTGGGAGGAAGCAAGCTCCTGTTTCCTCAGTGGACCCTGTATGGTGAGCAGACCTTTTCCAGAGGATCTGGGCAATGGCCAAGGCCTCTCATGGGCACCGTCAGAAGCCTCTGAGCCACCCTAGCTCCCCAACCCCACCACTCCTCCTGAGCCAGCTGTCCCTTCCCTGGATGCCTGGACCCTTCCCCGAAAGCCACCTGAGTCACCTCACCTGGGGCGAACCTTCTGGGCCACCAGTGTATCAAGTCCCCTCAGGACAGCTTGCAAGGTCTCCAGATGAGGTGTCTTCATCAGGGATCCCAGAGGGAGGCGGAGGAAGGGCCAGGCCTGCACCATCAGCTTCAGGGCCTCAAAACGTCTCATGCTGAAGGCCTCCATGAACATCAGAGGGAAGACCTCCCTGGGCAGCTCATCCAGGGTGAAGATGGTCAAGAACTGGTTCCTCAGCAGGCTCTGCCCTGCCAGCTCCAGCAGTCTGGATGGGGCCTGGAGGCTCATTCTGACAAATCTCCGAGGAAAAACTCTAGAGGACAATCAAGTGAAAAGGCAAGTTTCTCGGGCCATTCCCCAGCAAGCCCCACTTCTCCTAGGGCCAAAGTCATTTCTCTAGCACGTGTGAAAGAGCCCTCAGTTTACTCCAATTCCGTTCTGCAATAAGTGGCTACAGAGGCATGGTTCTGCCCTTCTGGTACCAAGAAGAGTGTGTCCCAACCTCTAAAGAGCAGGCAAGATCCCTCCTAGTCCATGAATTATTAGCCACTGTTGCAATAAACTCATAGCACTGGGAAATGTTACCGAGGATCTCTGAAGCTCGGATCTCATGCCCAGCTAATCTTTTATTTTTTGACTTTTTGTAAAGACAGTGGGTTTCACTATGTTGTCCAGGCTGGTCTTGAACTCCTAGACTCAAACATTCCACCCGCCTTGGCCTCCCAAAGTACTGGGATTACAGGCGTAATCCTCTTCCCGGACTCATTATTGAAAATTTCACCAAGAAGCTTTGAAAGCTGTGTGACAGTGTTATGCATCATTCGCAAGACACAGATGTTTCCAATACACACCTCTTACGCATGTTCAAAATGAACCACTTTGGCTGTGCGCAGTGACTCACACCTGTAATCCCAGCACTTTGGGAGGCAGAGGCATTGGATTATCTGAGGTCAGGAGTTTGAGACCATCCTGGCCAACATGGTAAAACACTACCTCTACTAAAATTACAAAAATTAGCCAGGTGCAGTGGTCTGCGCCTATAGTCCAAGCTACTAGGGAGGCTGAAGCAGGAGGATCGCTTGAACCCAGGAGGCATAGGTTGCAGTTAGCTGAGATTATACCACTACAATCCAGCCTGGGAAATTGGCTAGATTCAAAAAAGAGAGAGAGAGAGAGAGAACTACATTGGATTAGACTTCTTAAGCTCCATCCAGTTAATCATGATTGGATTTTTGTCTTTCTTCCAGATTAACTATCAAATTAGATATTCATCCATGAAAGTGAAATATTTAGGGATATGGTGAAAGTCCAGGACTCATTCACTGATTTACTCCACAAACATGGAATTTTAGTAATATGTGACCTTTGTAGTTCTGAGTGTGAGATAGGGAAGAGTTGAATCTCTTCCTGACATTAGACAGAAAGAAAAAAACTCGAAAGTATCTTTGTTGAGAGATCCTTGGCCACATCAAATTTATCAAAATATTTCAGAGTTAAAACAGTTTTACAAAGATAGACATGACAGTCCCTAAGAAAACACAGTAGAAATCTTCATGAATCCAATGATCACCTGGGTGGTATAATTTAATTTTTTTCGTGTCGGGGTAGCTGAGTCTCACTTCATCACCCAGGCTGGAGTACAGTGGTGCCATCTCAGCTCACTGTAACCTCTGCCTCCCAGGTTCAAGTGATACTTATGCTTCAGCCTTCCATGTAGCTGGGATTACAGGCATGCACCTCCACACCCATGTCTCCGTTTGGGTGGAAGAGTTACAATGAGGATGTGATTGGTTTAAAATTAAGGTCAAAGATCCTCTTTGGTTAAGATTTTTTTTCTTTAATAGGGCCTCGCAATGTTGCCCAGGCTGGAGTACAGCAGTGGTATGAGCATGGCTCACTGCAGCCTCAATCTTCTGGGCTCAATTGTTTCTCCCATGTCAGCAACCCATACAGTTGGGAAGACAGATGCATGCTACCATGCCCGGCTAATTAAAAAATATGTATATTTTGTAGAGGCCAAGCACCAGTGGCTCATGGCTGTAATCCCAGCACTTTGGGAGGCCAAGGCAGGTGGATCACTTGAGGTCAGGAGTTTGAGACCAACTTGGCCAGCATGGTGAAACCCCACCTCTACTAAAAATACAAAAAGTAGCCAGGCAAGTTGGCAGTTGGATGTAATACCAGATACTCAGGAGGCTGAGGCATGAGAATTGCTTGAGCCTGGGAGGCAGAGGTTGCAATGATTTGAGATCGTGCCACTGCACTCCAGCCTTGGAAACAGAGCGAGACTCCATCCCCCCTTCAATAAAGAATATTTTATAGAGATGGGTTTTTGCCGTGTTGTCCAGGTTGGTCTCAGACCCCTGGGCTGAAATGATCCTCCCGCCTTGGTCTCCCAAAGTGTTGGGGTTAAAGGCATGAGTCACTGCTCCCTTCAAGAATTTTGAAATGACATAAACCAAAGCACAATCCAATTTTTTGAAATAAAGACAAAACTGCATTTAGAGGAAAAAATGCAAAGCTTCAAATTGTTCATATGAGAAAAAAAACAAAACAGGATATAACTCTATGCCATCTTAGGCTGCACTGTCACCATCCCAGACCAGCTGACTGTAGGTCAGTTGGGAGTGTCCTTACAGAGAGATTAGTGACTTACCAGATCTGGACTCAGTTTGGAGGGTGCTCAGACCTCAGGAAGAACTAAGCAGGAACTCCAGACTTGAAGACTTTGGGTCTCTTCTGTGGGTCTTTAGAAGCTTTTATTGACCTTTCTAATCACAACTCCCACCCACACCCCTCCACGTATCCACTGCTAGCTTCCAATCAACAAGTGATATCTGATTGCATTTCTGAAGCTCCACCCAGTTAATCCTGATTGGGGTTTTGGCTCTCCCCAGATTAATGGATTGAATCAGATATCCATTCATATCAGATATCCATATTAAGTTCATGAATCAAGAAATTGACAGTGTTAGGGATAGGGTGGGAATCAAGAATGCATTCATTCAAGACCGGGCAAGGTGGCTCACTCCTGTAATCCCAGCACTTTGGGAAGACAAGTTGGGTGGGTCACCTGAGTTCAGACATTCAAGACGAGCCAGGCCAACAAGGTGAAACCCCGTCTCTACAAAAATACAAGAATTAGGCAGGGACGATGGCACATGCCTGTAATCCAGCTACTCAGGAGGCTGAGGTGGGAGAATCGCTTGAACCCAAGAGGCAATGGTTGCAGTGAACCAAGATTGCACCATTGCACTCCACTCTGGGTGACAGAGGGAGAATTTGTCGGAAAAAAAAAATTCATTCATTCGTGAACTTCACAAACACTGATGGAATTTCACTAATATGTGACCTGCATAGTCCTGAGTCTGAAGCAGGGAAGGGTCTAATCTTTCCCAGATATTAGACAGAAAACTAAAATCTGAAAGTAGTATTGTTGGGAGATCTTTGGCCACATCAAAATCACAAAAATGTTTTATAGTTAAAATAGCTTTATAAAAACAGAGGAGTCGTCCCTACAAAATCAAAATAAAAATCTCCATGTATTGAATGGTCTTGTGGGTTTTATATCACCTAAGGTAGCAATTTTTTCACTCCTGCTGGTGGAAGAGAGGTGCCACTGAGGACCTGAGTGGTCTCAGGGCTTAGGTTAAGGTTACTCTGGAAGAAATTGCAACCATACTTATAAACTTTATAAATTTAATCAGTGAAGAAGGGAGGGGGAGAAACAGACATAAACCAAGCTTGCAGTGCATTCAGCATTCATCATGAGGTCAGCTTGCTCTCTGACCTGCTTCCTCATGGTTGCTGGCAGCCTGCTGTCCCAAAATCATGTAGACCTTAGATTACAGTTGCCCTTAACTGCCCTGCAGACAACAATTTAGGCCTTGTAAAACATTAACTTTTTCATTTGACATATTCTTTCAGGTTCTGCATGTCAGTGAAGCTACTGATGGCAGGTGATCTGAAGGGCCCTGCAAGGCACCAACTCACCAAGGAATGCAGTTTTGACATCCTGATGACTTCATACCTCTTACTGCCACCAAACTGCACCAACTTTCCAGCCTCTTGCTATCCATGATCCTCTGAAAACTCTCAGTACTTCTTGGGGAGATGAATTTGAGGGTCTCCTCCCAGCTTTTCATTTTGCCACCCTGTGATCGTTAAACTCTCTGCTGCAAACCCTGCTGTCTCAGAATATTAGTATGCTACTGTGCTGCAGGCATAGGAACCTGATGGTCCTGTAAAAAAAGTCATGTCAAAATTACAAAGGGAAGTGAAGGTGGAGGCTGGTCAGGGTTGAGCTGTGTGTTTTAATGGGATCCGGGGAGTGAACCAAGACTTGGTAAACATGTTGGGGGTTATTGAGGGCGTGGAGGAGGAATCTTTCCAACATTGCACTGAGGCCCCCTTGGTGTTGATACTTGTGACCAAGAATGAGTCTTCCAAAACAGTGTATGTAATTCTCCTGATTTTTCCTTTCAAAACCTTTGTCTTCCTTTACCTCCCTGAATAATCTCACATCTATTCCCATTGCTTTGCTCATTTCATAATAAAAATCCTTTTTTTTTAAAAAAGAATCTCTTTCTCTGTGAAGTAGACCATATATTTTATTGCCACACAACATGAGTAGCCTGGTATTATGGAGAGAAAGGGTCAAAAGGATCCCATTCCCCACCAGCTGGGGGTGATATAAAGGTCCTGGTTATTATTTGTCATATGTGCACCTGCATATTGCCAGTGAAAACTTACAGGTCACATTTTTCAGGAGTCCAAATTAACCACCTGTGGAAGGTCTTATGATTGGCTTACATTCTGTCCCTGAGTAAAGAATCTGATCTTGAGTTCATGAGTGCCTCAAACTCTGCAATTATTGATGAAGCTTCACCCACTTACAGTGAGAAGGACACTGATTTGATTCTGATCATGAAGTTTCACTGGTTGTCTTGCAAGGAAAATGTTTAACTTGTTATGTTGTCAGCTAAAGTCAATGATTGTAACCTCTGTATTGTACCTTCCAATGGAAAAAACAAAAACAAAACAAAAACTCAACTCTATTTGAGCCTTGCCAGGTCAGTAAAACAAAAGAAAATTTAAAAAAAAAGCTGATAGGAGGAGTCTCATTCCCTTCTTTTAACTTTTCTCACAAAAGCATTCCAACTTGTAACAGACTTTGGAACACACCCACTTTGTTGGTCTGTGTCTTCCACATTGATTCTCACATTTAGCTTCCAATGAAGATTTATTTAATTATTTCTGCCTTAAGCGCCTTACCTTCCACTGACACCAGGTTGCATGGTGACAGTTTGAACTGGGGTGGGATGAAAAAATATTTTTATGAATTTTATTATATAATCCTTGCATGTCATCTCCATTGAAGAATGAATAGGGTCTTCTCCAAATATGTGCTGAGTATGGATGCATCCAATAAATGAAACTATTGTTTATTTCATATGGTAGAGCTATAGATGCATTCTATTTGCCTCGAGTTTCCAATGAACAAATGTCTAGTTTCAGTAAGTTCTCTGATTATATGGCAGAGGATAACATGGTCATGTTCTGATTCTGTGTCTATGTCAATACTTATAGCATTTCAGTCTTCATAATGTGTGTCAAATGAAAGAGTTTGATTCCAAGGGGAGTCTGGGACACTACCTAGATTAGACCCGGTTACACTAATGTTTCCTATGCATGGAGATAAGTTACAAGTAATGAAATCAACAATAGTCATAGGCCACCCATTTGCATCTATAGCTTCTGCTCAGTGCCAAGTCATTTAATTATCAATATTAACCAACCGTGTGTGAGAGCAGGTTCTACTATTAGTTGTGATCCTTCCCATTCATCTAAATGACTCCATAGCCAGTAATTGCTTTGGTTAGTGAGAGTGGCTAAATTTTGAATAGGAGAACTTAGAAAGTGTTTGCTTTGACTGGTGAAAGTACGTAACAAAATAAAATGTAGGCTTGATCATTTTGTGTTAATACAAAACAAAACCAAGTCTCAGTCAGTGGAAGGAGATCAAATGGAGTTTTGTCCCATTTTCTTAAAAAAGCTGTCTACCATGTGATGATGTCTGCTTCTAAGAAAGACTTTGTTCCTTGGTTATCCTTAATTTTAAGTCACCTGGTATGGTCCCATCCAATGCTGCTCATGGGCAGATTTCCCTTGGTGTCATTTTAAAAGATGCAGTCTCCAAATGGTAGGGCATGAAGGTCCAGTGATCATCGAAACCCTCCTTCACCAACTGGAAATAGGCTTTGAAAGGTCTTGCAGTACTGAGTCATATTGTTACTGAACGATGGGCTCACTCTCCTAAGTGCATAGAAAAGCAAAAAAGGCTGGGCATGGTGGCTGACACCTATATTTGCAGCACTTTAGGAGGCCAAGGTAGGCGGATCACAAGGTCAGGGGTTCGAATCCAGCCTGGCCAATATGGTGAAACCCTGTCTCTATGAAAAATACACAAATTAGCTGGGTGTGATGACCCATGTCTGTAATCCCAGCTACTTAGGAGGCTGAGGCAGAAGAATCACTTGATCCTGTGAGGCAGAGGTTGCAGTGAGTCGAGATTGCACCTCTGCACTCCAGCCTGGGTGACAGAGCAAGACTCCATTTTGGGAAAAAAAAATTTATTAACAGTTAACTGGGCTGGGCACAGTGGCTTATACCTGTAATCCCAGCACTTTAGGAGGCCAAGGTGGGCGGATCACAAGGTCAGGAGCTCCAGATCAGCCTGACCAATATGGTGAAACTCCCTCTCTATTAAAAATACAAAAATTGCTCTCCCTCTCCCTCTCCCTCTCCCTCTCCCCACGGTCTCCCTCTCCCCACGGTCTCCCTCTCCCCACGGTCTCCCTCTCCCTCTCTTTCCACGGTCTCCCTCTGATGCCGAGCCGAAGCTGGACTGTACTGCTGCCATCTCGGCTCACTGCAACCTCCCTGCCTGATTCTCCTGCCTCAGCCTGCCCAGTGCCTGCGACTGCAGGCGCGCGCCACCACGCCTGACTGGTCCTCGTATTTTTTTGGTGGAGACGGGGTTTCGCTGTGTTGGCCGGGCTGGTCTCCAGCTCCTAACCACGAGTGATCCGCCAGCCTCGGCCTCCCGAGGTGCCGGGATTACAGACGTAGTCTCGTTCACTCAGTGCTCAATGTTGCCCAGGCTGGAGTGCAGTGGCGTGATCTCAGCTCGCTACAACCTCCACCTCCCAGCCGCCTGCCTTGGCCTCCCAAGGTGCCGAGATTGCAGCTTCTGCCCGGCCGCCACCCCGTCTGGGAAGTGAGGAGCGTCTCTGCTCGGCCGCCCATCGTCTGAGATGTGGGGAGCGCTTCTGCCCCGCCGCCCCTTCTGGGAGGTGAGGAGACCCTCCACCTGGCAGCCGCCCCGTCTGAGAAGTGAGGAGCCCCTCCACCCGGCAGCCACCCCGTCCGGGAGGGAGGTGGGGGTCAGCCCCCGCCAGGCCAGCTGCCCCGTCCGGGAGGGAGGTGGGGGGTCAGCCCCCCGCCCGGCCAGCCGCCCAGTCCGGGAGGTGAGGGGCGCCTCTGCCCGGCCGCCTCTACTGGGAAGTGAGGAGCCCCTCTGCCCGGCCATCACCCCGTCTGGGAGGTGTACCCAACAGCTCATTGAGAATGGGCCATGATGACAATGGCAGTTTTGTGGAATAGAAAAGGGGGAAAGGTGGGGAAAAGATTGAGAAATCGGATGGTTGCCATGTCTGTGTAGAAAGAAGTAGACATGGGAGACTTTTCATTTTGTTCTGTACTAAGAAAACTTCTTCTGCCTTGGGATCCTGTTGATCTATGACCTTACCCCCAACCCTGTGCTCTCTGAAACATGTGCTGTGTCCACTCAGGGTTAAATGGATTAAGGGTGGTGCAAGATGTGCTTTGTTAAACAGATGCTTGAAGGCAGCATGCTCGTTAAGAGTCATCACCACTCCCTAATCTCAAGTACCCAGGGACACAAACACTGCGGAAGGCCGCAGGGTCCTCTGCCTAGGAAAACCAGAGACCTTTGTTCACTTGTTTATCTGCTGACCTTCCCTCCAGTATTGTCCTATGACCCTGCCAAATCCCCCTCTGTGAGAAACACCCAAGAATGATCAATATATAAATAAATAAATAAATATACAAAAATACAAAAATTAGCTGGGCATGGTGGTGCATGCCTGTAATCCCAGCTACTGGGGAGGCTGAGGCAGGAGAATCACTTGAACCTGGAAGGCCAATGTTGCAGTGAGCTGAGATCATGCCACTGCACTCCAGCCTGGGCAACAGAGTGAGACTCTGTCTCAAAGAAAAAAATAAAAATAAAAATAAAAAAGAGTTAACTGACAAGCAGATAGGAGACAAGTTCTAAACCTGTCTCCCCAATCTGGGGATGGTGGAGCAAGCTTGCATCATCTCTCCAACTGGTTTCAGATGATGCCAATTCAAACAGTCCGCCTGGCTGTGTTAATAGTTAAGAGGTTAAACCTTTTTCCCATCGGACATGCCTGAGCAATTTGGGCTTTGCGTCATCACCTGTAACAACTTAAGCAATGACTAATCTGTTGGAGTTGATCCTCTGGTTACATGATCAGAGCTAAAAAGTGCAGGGGATACATAATGTTCTATTATCAAAGGCATAGGTTCTCCAGTAAATACTTAATTATCAGTGTTTCTGATTGCAGTTGGTGAAAAAAAAATACCTTATGGGGGATCTGGCTGTGTTTTCCCATAGGGGGTGGTAAAAATTTCATTAAAGTAATCCAGTCTTGCTGGACATGATGGCTCACACCTGTAATCTCAGCACTTTGGGAGGCCGAGGCTGGTGGATCACTTGAGGCCAGGAGTTGAGCAATCTGGGCAACATGGTGAAACCCCGTTATCTACTAAAAATACAAAAATTAGCTGGGTGTGGTGGTATGCCTGTAATCCCAGCTACTTGGGAGGCTAAGGCATGACAATCACTTGAACCCAGGAGGCAGAGGTTGCAGTGAGCTGAGATAGCACCACTGAACTCCAGCCTGGGTAACAGAGACTCTGTCTCAAAAAAAAAAAAAAAAAAAATTAACCCAGTCTCCTTTGTTAGTTTAGCTAATTTTAGTTTCAAGATACCATTTCTTCACTCGACCTTTGTAGAATACCAAGGATAATGAAGTTAATGGTAGTGCCATTGGATCTGAAAAATCTTATCTGTGTGATCACCTGCCCAGTAAACGGAGTTCTCCTACCACTGGAGATTTCTCCAGAGATGCCCCAGAAAGGAAACACATTTTATAACCATTTATTCACTATGGCTGTGGCATCAGCCTTTCTAAAAAGGTAAGCTACAACCCATCCTGAAAACAGACACACAATCACAAGAATTGTAGCCTTTTTACATGGCTCACTGACATCATTGGTCCATGACATTCCCCTTTCTTGCAGCTATATGTGTGTATGTCTATCTATTCCTATCTATATCTATACTTAATTTTTATTACCATGATTCACTTCCACTCCCCTTTCCATAGATAGCCACTCTACTCTTTGACCTAGCCTTGAATTTGCATGTGACCTCTTAGAATATAAGTATATAGAAAGTATTTAGAATATATACTTAAGATGGCTGAATAGGAACAGCTCCAGTCTACAGCTCCCAGCATAAGTGATGCAGAAGATGGGTGATTTCTACATTTCCAACTGAGGTACCAGGTTCAACTCACTGGGGAGTGCCAGACAGTGGGTGCAGGACAGTGGGTGCAGTGCACCGTGCGTGAGCTGAAGCAGGGCGAGGCATCGCCTCACCTGGGAAGCACAAGGGGTCAGGGAATTCCCTTTCCTAGTCAAAGAAAGGGGTGACAGATGGCACCTGGAAAATCAGGTCACTCCCACCCTAATACTGCGCTTTTCTAATGGGCGTAACAACTGCACACCAGGAGATTATATCCCACACCTGGCTTGGAGGGTCCTGTGCCCACGGAGCCTTGCTCATTGCTAGCACAGCAGCCTGAGATCAAACTGCAAGGCGGCAGCAAGGCTGGGGGAGGGGCCCCCACCATTGCCGAGACTTGAGTAGGTAAACAAAGCAGCCCAGAAGCTGGAACTGGGTGGAGCCCATCACAGCTCAAGGAGGCCTGCCTGCCTCTGTAGACTCCACCTCTGGGGGCAGGGCACAGACAAACAAAAGAAAGCAATAACCTCTGCAGACTTAAATGTCCCTGTCTGACAGCTTTGAAGAGAGTAGTCGTTCTCCCAGCATGCAGCTTGAGATCTGAGAACGGGCAGACTCCCTCCTCAAGTGGGTCCCTGACCCCCGAGTAGCCTAACTGGGAGGCAACACCAAGTAGGGGCAGACTGACACCTCACACAGCTGGGTACTCCTCTGAGACAAAACTTCCAGACGAAAGATCAGACAGCAGCATTTGCGGTTCACCAATATCCACTGTTCTGCAGCCTCTGCTGCTGATACCCAGGCAAACAGGGTCTGGAGTGGACCTCCAGCAAACTCCAACAGAACTGCAGATGAGAGTCCTGACTGTTAGAAGGAAAACTAACAAACAGAAAGGACATCCACACCAAAAACCCATCTGTACATCACCATCATCAAAGACCAAAGGTAGATAAAACCACAGAGATGGGCAAAAAACAGAGCAGAAAAACTGGAAACTCTAAAATTCAGAGTGCCTCTCCTCCTCCAAAGGAACGCAGCTCCTCACCAGCAATAGAACAAAGCTGGATGGAGAATGACTTTGATGATTTGAGAGAAGAAGACTTCAGAAGATCGAACTACTCCGAGATAAAGGAGGAAGTTGGAACCAATGGCAAAGAAGTTAGAAACTTTGGGAAAAAATTAGACAAATGGATAACTAGAATAACCAATGAAGAGAAGTTCTTAAAGGACCTGATGGAGCTGAAAACCATAGCATGAGAATTATATGACGAATGCACAAGCCTCATTAACATATGCAATCAACTGGAAGAAAGGGTATCAGCGATGGAAGATGAAATGAATGAAATGAAGTGTGAAGAGAAGTTTAAAGAAAAAAGAATAAAAAGAAAAAAACAAAGCCTCCAAGAAATATGGTACTATGTGGAAAGACCAAATCTATGTCTGACTGGTGTACCAGAAAGTGGTGGGGAGAATGGAACCAAGCTGGAAAACACTCTGCAGGATATTATCCAGGATAACTTCCCCAATCTAGCAAGGCAGGCCAACATTCAAATTCAGGAAATACAGAGAATGCCACAAAGATACTCCTCGAGAAGAGCAACTCCAAGACACATAATTGTCAGATTCGCCAAAGTTGAAATGAAGGAAAAAATGTTAAGGGCAACCAGAGAGAAAGGTCGGGTTACCCACAAAGGGAAGCCCATCAGACTATCAGCTGATCTCTTGGCAGAAACTCTACAAGCCAGAAAGAGAGTGGGGGCCAATATTCAACATTCTTAAAGAAAAATATTTTCAACCCAGAATTTCATATCCAGCCAAACTAAGCTTCATAAGTGAAGGAGAAATAAAATACTTTACAGACAAGCAAATGCTGAGAGATTTTTGTCACCACCAGGCCTGCCCTAAAAGAGCTCCTGAAGGAAGCACTAAACGTGGAAAGGAACAACCAGTACCAGCCACTGCAAAAACATGCCACGTTGTAAAGACCATCAAGGCTAGGAAGAAACTGCATCAACCAATGAGCAAAATAACCAGCTAACATCATAATGACAGGAACAAATTCACACATAACAATACTAACCTTAAATATAAATGGGCTAAATGCTCCAATTAAAAGACACAGACTGGCAAATTGGATAAAGAGTCAAGACCCATCAGTGTGCTGTATTCAGGAAACCCATCTCACGTGCAGAGACACACATAGGCTCAAAATAAAGGGATGGAGGAAGATCTACCAAACAAATGGAAAACAAAAAAAGGCAGGGGTTGCAATCCTAGTCTCTGATAAAACAGACTTTAAACCAACAAAGATCAAAAGAGACAAAGAAGGCCATTACATCATGGTAAAGGGATCCATTCAACAAGAAGAGCTAACTATCCTAAATATATATGTACCCAATACAGGAGCACCCAGATTCATACTTTTTTTTTTTTTTTTTTTTTTTTGAGCAGTAGCAAGATTTATTGCAAAGAGCGAAAGAACAAAGCCTCCACACTGTGGAAGGGGACCCGAGCGGGTTGCCCCACCCAGATTCATAAAGCAAGTACTTAGTGACCTACAAAGAGACTTAGACTCCCACACAATAATAATGGGAGACTTTAACACCCCACTGTCAACATTAGACAGATCAATGAGACAGAAAGTTAACAAGGATATCCAGGAATTGAACTCAGTTCAGCACCAAGCAGACCTAATAGACATCTACAGAACTCTCCACCCCAAATCAACAGAATGTACATTCTTTTCAGCACCACGCCACACCTATTCCAATATTGACCACATAGTTGGGAGTAAAGCACTCCTCAGCAAATGTAAAGGAACAGAAATTATAACAAACTGTCTCTCAGAACACAGTGCAATCAAACTAGAACTCAGGATTAAGAAACTCACTCAAAACTGCTCAACTACATGGAAACTGAACAATCTGCTCCTGAGTGACTACTGGGTACATAACGAAATGAAGGCAGAAATAAAGATGTTCTTTGAAACCAATGAGAACAAAGACACAACATACCAGAATCTCTGGAACACATTCAAAGCAGTGTGTAGAGGGAAATTTATAGCACTAAATGCCTACAAGAGAAAGCAGGAAAGATCTAAAATTGACACCCTAACATCACAATTAAAAGAAGTAGAGAAGCAAGAGCAAACACATTCAAAAGCTAGCAGAAGGCAAGAAATAACTAAGATCAGAGCAGAACTGAAGGAAATAGAGACACAAAAAACCCTTCAAAAAATCAATGAATCCAGGAACTGGTTTTTTGAAAAGATCAACAAAATTAATAGACTGCTAGTAAGACTAATAAAGAAGAAAAGAGAGAGGAATCAAATAGATGCAATAAAAAATGACAAAGGGGATATCACCACTGATCCCACAGAAATACAAGCTACCATCAGAGAATACTATAAACACCTCTACGCAAATAAACAAGAAAATCTAGAAGAAATGGATAAATTCCTCGACATACACACCCTCCCAAGACTAAACCAGGAAGAAGTTGAATCTCTGAACAGACCAATAACAGGCTCTGAAATTGAGGAAATAATTAATAGCTTACCAACCAAAAAAAGTCCAGGACCAGTTGGATTCACAGCCGAATTCTACCAGAGGTATAAGGAGGAGCTGGTACCATTCCTTCTGAAACTATTCCACTTAATAGAAAAAGAGGGAATCCTCCGTAACTCATTTTATGAGGCCAGCATCATCCTGATACCAAAGCCTGGCAGAGACACAACAAAAAAAGAGAATTTTAGACCAATATCCTTGATGAACATTGATGCAAAAATCCTCAATAAAATACTGGCAAACTGAATCCAGCAACACATCAAAAAGCTTATCCACCATGATCAAGTGGGCTTCATCCCTGGGATGCAAGGCTGGTTCAACATACGAAAATCAATAAACATAATCCAGCATATAAACAGAACCAAAGACAAAAACCACATGATTATCTCAATAGATGCAGAAAAGGCTTTTGACAAAATTCAACAACCTTCATGCTAAAAACTCTCAATAAATTAGGTATTGATGGGACGCATCTCAAAATAATAAGAGCTATCTATGACAAACCCACAGCAAATATCATACTGAATGGACAAAAACTGGAAGCATTCCCTTTGAAAACTGGCACAAGACAGGGATGCTCTCTCTCACCACTCCTATTCAACATAGTGTTGGAAGTTCTGGCCAGAGCAATCAGGCAGGAGAAGGAAATAAAGGGAATTCAATTAGGAAAAGAGGAAGTCAAATTGTCCCTGTTTGCAGATGACATGATTATATATCTAGAAAACCCCATCGTCTCAGCCCAAAATCTCCTTAAGCTGATAAGCAACTTCAGCAAAGTCTCAGGATACAAAATCAATGTGCAAAAATCACAAGCATTCTTATACACCACTAACAGACAAATGGAGAGTCAAATCATGAGTGAACTCCCATTCACAATTGCTTCAAAGAGAATAAAATACCTAGGAATCCAACTTACAAGGGATGTGAAGGACCTCTTCAAGGAGAACTACAAACCACTGCTCAATGAAATAAAAGAGGATACAAACAAATGGAAGAATATTCCATGCTCATGGGTAGGAAGAACCAATATGGTGAAAATGGCCATGCTGCCCAAGGTAATTTATAGATTCAATGGCATCCCCATCAAGCTACCAATGACTTTCTTCACAGAATTGGAAAAAACTACTTTAAAGTTCATATAGAACCAAAAAAGAGCCCGCATTGCCAAGTCAATCCTAAGCCAAAAGAATAAAGCTGGAGGCATCATGCTACCTGACTTCAAACTATACTACAAGGCTACAGCAACCAAAACAGCACGGTACTGGTACCAAAACAGAGATATAGACCAACAGAACAGAACAGAGCCCTCAGAAATAATGCCACATATCTACAACTATCTGATCTTTGACAAACCTGACAAAAACAAGAAATGGGGAAACAATTCCCTATTTAATAAATGGTGCTGGGAAAACTGGCTAGCCATAAGTAGAAAGCTGAAACTAGATCCCTTCCTTACACCTTATAGAAAAATTAATTCAAGGTGGATTAAAGACTTACATGTTAGACCTCAAACCATAAAAACCCTAGAACAAAACTCATAGGTGTTCTCACTCGTAGGTGAGAATTGAACAATAAGAACACATGGACACACGAAGGGGAACATCACACACCGGGGACTGTTGTGGGGTGGGGGGAGGGGGGAGGGATAGCAATAGGAGATATACCTAATGCTAAATTATGAGTTAATGGGTGCAGCACACCAACATGGCACATGTATACATATGTAACAAACCTGCACGTTGTGCACATGAACCCTAAAACTTAAAGTATAATAATAATGAAAAAAGAATATATACTTGCATTTTGTGTGTGTATTTATTTTAATCCACGTATATGCTCTAGTGTATGGTGCTACAGAAGAGGGCCTGACAATTAATTGTCCAGTCCCAGACACTTTGGAGAGTGAATGGACGTGTTGTTATAATTAATTGCTTTTTTTTTTGGAGATGGAGTCTCACTCTGTTGCCAGGCTGGAGAGCAATGGTTCGATCCAAACCATATCACAGGGGGTAATGCTGTCAGACAACGTATTTCTATTTCACTAGTAAAATTTCTTTGGAATAACAGATTTGGCAGTGAATATAAACATAGCAAACATTAGACCTGATGCTCTGGACCCCAACTCTTGCACAAGCCTCTGACTGTGGAGTTTTATTTGAAAGGATGAAAATGAGCAGCAGATTGCAGGGACTGGGACAGTATCATGTCACCGCCAAAGATGTTGACAAACAGACATTCCGTCATTCCAGTCCCACCACTTACAGGCTGTCTGACCTTGAAAATTTCTCCCTCTCTCTTTGAATGTGTCTCTTTCTCCATCAAATGTGTAGAAGGATAATCTCAATCTTCAGGTAAAAATGCTGAGCCCAAAGCATGGGGCATAATAAACCCTCCATAAATGTTGGCTACTTTTGTTGACATTCAAAGACAACAGGCATAATCAGGAAAACAGTTGAGGCCACAGGGGATAACTCAGCCCTAAGGCAGAGTCCTCTCCTGTGCCAACCACTCCCTCTGCCAGGACACAAGCTTCACATCCACCCCAGGAAGAATTAAGAGCAAGTCCTGCTGACTCTGCCTCCAGGACGTCCCTATGCTGTCCATGGCCACTCAAGTGGACACCAGGACCTCCTGTCTGGACAGTGCAAGAATCTTCTGAAGCGTGTCCCTGCCCTCTGGTTGTCCCCCCAGGGAACACGGTCCTCTCAGCCACCTCGGGGATGTGGAAGATAGGCTTCAAGTGGCCTCACAACCCTAATCCCAAACTGCCAATGACCCCTGAGTCACCCTTGCCCCTGGCTGCACCTCTCCAGTCTCATCTCCCTGAGCCAATTCACAACCTGCCAGTTCAGACACTGGTCTTCTCATTCTCTCTGTGTTTCCCCTAAAGCACGTGAACTAGTCATTTTGTCCTTCTTGCTGGGGTCTGAGTCACTGGCCAGTCAAGGCCAAATGCTGGATCAATGAGACAGGAGGAGGCCAATGACTCCAGGCCCCAGGTGAGTGAAAGGGAGGCTTTTATGAACTGGGTGCTATGGGAGAACCGCAGGCCCAGTGGGCATCCCTACAATGACCTCATGGTGTTTACATGTTTATGTGTGTGTGTGGTCAGCTAGGAAGTCACAGCTCTCCAGCATGGCTCCATGGCACAGAAAAGTAAAATATGCCATGTCTCTAGCAGGGCAAGTTTCCCGTGAGTCCAGCAAGAAGGCATGGGATCTGTGGAAAGGAGGCCTCTGGGAAAAACCCCACCTTTGAGGATAATGTTAAAAGCTGAACTTGAGACCCTGAGAATCCTATGTCCTTCCCACTCCCCGCAGGGCTTCTCTTGATCCGGCCCTGACTCCCGGATGCAGAAGCCCAGGGAGGAGCTGGGAGACAGGGAAACTTGCTGGGACGCTCCATGCATTTGTCTCCAAGAGGGTCCCCAAACCCAGGTGCCTGCAGCATCAGGGAGGCTCAGAGTTCCTGTGTCTGCCTGAAGGAAGCCTCATTTGCATGGATCCATGTAAGTTCTGAGATTCCTTCCCACACGTGGCCACCTGCAGGTGCCCCATAAATTCATCTTCCCAAGAAGAGCCAATGGGGATAGGCGAGGACCCCAAACCTGCTCCCAACCCCACATCCACAGGACAGAGAGGGATCACCTGAAGCACAGGCCAGGGGGTGAGTCCTGACCCCACTGTCTCCTCCTAATCCCAGAGGGCAGTGGAGTGGCCACAGGCACCCCACCAACTCCTCCTGTACCCCAAGCCCAAGATGAACAAACTTCCCGACTCACTGGCCTATCCCAACTTAAAAAAAAGCAGGACAACTCTCCCAGGTGGAGAAGACACCAGCTGCCTCTGCGGTGCTGAGCCCAGGAGGAAGATGATCACTGTTCAAACTGCCTTGGCAAGTTGTTTCAAAGAAATAAAACCCTTGGCTTCTCAGTGCTTTGAGTCACATTGCACTTAGTAAATGTTCGTTTTACTAATGTTTTTCACTTCCCTGTATATTTATATTCAGCAGTGAGAGACCTCTTCATATTCCAACAAAAAGTGATTAAAGGATTTGGGACACCTGTGATTATCCCCATGGGTTATTATGATCGCTCTGTACCGCGCAGCCTGCAGAGTTATTTTTCTGACCGGGATTGCAGTGCTGAGCCTGGTGTCCTCTGCTGAGTTCATTTTCCAGCTTCCTTGCATTTTATTCATCTTCCCTGGTAGCACCCGGAATTGCAGGAAGCAATCCCTGGTGCTCAGTGAAGGTCTTTGAATGAATCAAGGGGAGAGGAGTCAGGGGGAGGCAGAGGGTGTGGGAGGAGTCACATGTGCCAGAATCTTCTCTTCAGACATGTCACAGAGAGTCCCCTCCAGGCACTCTTGTTGGGCCTCAGTGCTGGACATTGGAGGACTTTTCTGACTGAGGATCATTGTGCCCTCTCTGGATCCACTGGAAAGCTCTGGGCAGCCATGTGAGCCTTGGTTTGACTTCCATCCTCCATGATTTTCCCTTTGCTTGTCAGAGGAGGTTTGGAATAACTTGGATGTCAGGGACTCTGAGCCAGACCCCATTCTTTTTCATTCCCTCCTGAAAAGCCCAGTCCTCACCGTCCCATAAGGCTCTGACCAGTGAAAAGATGGAGCTGCACGATTTCCAAAGAGAATCCTTTCCTTGGCCTCAAGCCACAGCTGCTTCCTTCTGACCTGCTGCTTGTCTTTGGATCCAGGATGGACACTCGCCACCCGCTCTTCCTCTCCTGGGACTCCCCACTCTCCTGACTCTGTGCCCCTGGGGCAGGATGGGGCAGCCACTAAAACCTCATGCAGACCAGGGCACATAAAGTGTCTTGGGAACTCACAGACCCAAGTCCAAGCCCCAGTGCCCCACGGTCTCAGACACAAGTCCCTGCCTTTCAGAGACACAGCTCTATGAGAGCCAGAGAACCTGGCTGCCTGCTCTGCTGCCACCTCCCTCCTTCCCCTTTATTTCAGCCCCATCAGCTCCTCTGATCACTCCCCTTCTTGGCCCCATTCCTACTTTCAGTCCCTCTGGCTCTGTCCAGCCTGGAGTGAGGGTGCAGACCTCCTCCCACCCCAGGCTCTGAGCACCTCCCTCAGCATCAAGTGTCTGCTTTCAGGGTGACCTTGTCCTCAGACTTGATTGGAGGAAGAAAGAGAGGAAGCCCCTACTTTAGCACACGATGTGCATGAATCTGACCTGGAATCAGACCCGGTTGAGGACCAGAGAAGGGCAACAGGGCCAGAACAGAGATTTTGACTCTTAGAAATGCACAGAGGGTGAACAGCTCAGGCTAAGAAGAGACCTGACTTGGACAGAAACAGACTGACTGCATTCCAGGTGCAGCCTTGTCAGCTCTAAGGCTGACCCAGGGGAGCCTGGGAAGGGATGGCCCCTGCACCGAGACATTTCCCAGGACCTCTTCTCAGCCTGGCACCCATAGGAAGACCAGAGGACTCAGGTCTCCTTCTGCGTGCCAGGCAGGGTCACCCTCCAGCAGTCCTGTCCCAGGGGCCTCTTTAGGGCCAGAGCAGCAGCTGAGGAACTCCCTGCTTTATGGCTTCTCATGTTCACCAAAATAGCTCAATAGAATTTTGGGAGAATTCCTCAATGACTGCTCTGGGGTGAAGGTCTCCCAGCATTGTGGCCATGTTCTGTTGTTCAGGAGATTTGGGCTGAGGTATCCAGGATGCATAAAGAGATACCTGCCTTGACAGCTCAGTCTGCAGGAGGGAAACAGAAGCTCAGAAATATTCTAGAGACCCTGAGCAAGTGCCTGGGGGAGCTTTGGTATTCTGGTGGAGATTCTGTGAGTGGAGAAGGGGTCAGGTCATCTTCTCAGAGGGGCTCTGAAGGATGCTCTGAGTTTGACAGCAGATGAGCACCTTGAGAAGAACAGGTGACAGGACATGGTAGAAATGCCCCCAAGTGCGGGATTCTCACTGGGGTCCTGGGGGTGGTGCTGGACCTTCTGAATTGGGCAGGAAGGGAAAGTCTGTCAATCAGTTCTTTTCAACATTTAGATTATTGAACTCCTTAGGGGATCCTCTGAGCTCCTCACCAGAGGGGTCTGTCCATCATTTGCTGCCTGAACACGGGCAGGTTCCTCTCCCTAGCCAAGTCTCAGGGTCACCACTTTAAAAATGAGGAATATAGCAACATGCCTTAGATTCCTCGTGAGGGAGAGCTGAGATCTTGGATGAATGGTACCAGTCCCTGCTGTGCCTTGTGCATGCTCAATCAACAGAGACACTCAGGATCACCTTTGGTGCTGAGCTCACCCTCAGCCTCAGGCTCACAAAGTGAGGGCAGGTGAAGTAGAAGCCGCACTGAGCACGTTTCAGTTTAACTCGATTGCACACATAGCAGGGCATTGATAGTGAGGTCAGAAATGTGGAGAAAGAACATTTACAGAAATATTCCATGATGGAGAACATCCTTCAAAGTACTTCAGTTTTGGAAGCCAGTGGCATCTCCGGGCTGTTTGGGTTTCATATGGAATGGGAGAGAAAGGCCTGGAGGACTTTCTGGAGGCGGGGGACGTTCTTGCTACTTTGTGCCCTAAAATAGCAGAAGAATGACTGTGTGATCCTGCTTAGGATGGGAGCCATCCCTGAACTTAGCAGATCTTTTAACATGAAATAGAGCTTCCAGGTTTTGTTGGGGAAATGTATTGTACATTTGCACACAATACAACCAGATGTGTGCACCGTTCTTAAAGACAGGAAGGCTGAGTTTCTCTCTCTCTTTCTTTCTTTCTTTCTTTCTTTCTTTCTTTCTTTCTTTCTTTCTTTCTTTCTTTCTTTCTTTCTTTCATTTCCTTCCTTCCCTCCCTCCCTCCCTCCTTCCCTCCCTCCCTCCCTCCCTCCCTCCCTCCCTCCCTCCCTTCCTTCCTTCCTCCCTCCCTTCCTTCCTTCCTTCCTCTGGCATCTGCCCCAGCTCACATTCTCAGATTCCATCTTCCCAGGCTGATTTTCCGAGGCGAGCCCATCATTTTTGGGAGTAAACACGCTTTCCCTTGTAGTAGAGGCCAAGACTGTATCTGCCTCCTCTGCCCTCAAAGACAATGTTGTGTTTGAAGAGTCTGCACTGTCTCTTTTGTAATTATTCCCTTTTTAATTTTTAAACTCAATCTAGACAGAGTCTTTCAATCCTTCTGTGGAGATGCCCACAAAATACCCACCATGTTTTATGCTGTCTTGGTTCCTTCCCAGGGTTCTACTAGAACACCCGGTCCCATCCTGCCCAGCCGCCACCTCACTTTGTCATTCTGTCCTGATTTCCTTCAGTGAAGCCTTGACCTTAGTCTTGTGATCAATCACACCCTCCGTGGTCCCCTTTTCAACCTGAACCCACATATGACCTGCCCTGTTATAAAACATAAAACCCAGGTGACCATTGGATAAAGGAGCTTTTTAATCCGTTTTCTTAGGGTGGACATCACTGTCTTTTTAAAGCTGTTTTAACTGTCTTAACGAAACGTTTTGATAATTTCGATGTGGCCACAGATTTTCCCATAAAGATATCATCAGGTTTTGTTTTTTCTTTCTAATGTCAGGAACAGATTAAACCTTCCATGTCTCTATGAAGGTCACATATTAGTCAAACTTCATCAGTGTTTGGGGAATAAATGAATTAATGAGTTTTGGACTTTCACCCTGTTATTTATTCTTTCACTTTCATAAATGCACATCTAATTTAATCAATGAATCAGAAGAAAGTGTAAAACTCAATCAGGACTAACTAGGTGGAACTTCGGAATCTAATCAGGTATCACTTTCTGATTGGAAGCTGGTGATTGAGAAGGGGAGGGTGTGGTTAGAAACATCAATAAAAGCTCCTGAGTTTGCAAAGGAGAGACCCAAAGCCCTGGTGCCTGGAACTACTGCTTGATTCTCTGAGAGATCCCAGCACCCTACAAACTGAGTCCAGATCTGGTAAGTCACCACCTCCTTAGGAACATGCCCATCTGATCTGCAGCCAGCCAGTCAGGGATGGTGACACACAGCCCAAAGTGGCACAGAGAATTTCCTGTCTGTTTTTTCAATTTAACAGATGTAGGTTTTGATTTTTCCTCTAAATATAGTATTCACTTCATCCCTCAAATTTTGATTTCTGCTTCATTTTTCTCATTTCAAAATTCTTATTGAAGCAGTTTTTTAAAAAAGATATTAAAAATTTACAGTTGGATGAATTTTTATGTCTTGACATGTGAAGTTATTTGTTTCTGTGCCCTTCAGCTACAGTTCACACACTTAGTTGTATTGTGATTTTCTCGAGTCTTGTTCTGAACATGGGATTTATCTCTGCCCTTAGACTCTGTCCCTAAGTGGGTGATTGTGAGTATGTAGAAGGGATGAGTATTGGATCCTTCATCTGAGACTTAGTGTTTCCACCCGCACCTTCCAAGTGCTCTAGAATACTGCCACACTGCTTTTATAGTTTCTCTTATAATTTTTCAAAATAAAAACAAGTGGCATTGATTTTAAGGAGTCACTTCAGTCTTCCCCAAGCATGCTAATTGTGTAAACTGAGAATGCAGGCTGTGTGGGGCCACAGGACAGTCATTCTCATTGTTTTTGGGTGGTAAGTAACAAAAAAATTTCCCTCAAAAAGGTGGAGCTTAGCTTTCAGGATCCTGAGTGACAGATCCCAGTAATCCTGAGTTTCAGTGGAGCAATGTATAGAAATTAATGGGCCACTGGCCACCTCGTCCCCTCCTTGGTGTTTGAAAGACATTCTTTGTGGTAGTCACAGGGGCACAGATACAGATTTGTGGCCACCAAGTGCAGAATGGAACTGGGGGGAATTGAGGGCTTTTCCACCTCCACCAGAGCAATGAGATTAGCAATAGGAGAAGATGAGGTGATCATATTTGGCCTGAGAGTGATGCCTTTTCTCTGGATTTGTCCTCTAGAGTTTTCCCTTGCAGATTCATCAAGATGAGCATCAGGGCCCCACCCAGACTCCTGGAGCTGGCAAGGCAGAGGCTGCTGAGGGACCAGGCCTTGGCCATCTCCACCATGGAGGAGCTGCCCAGGGAGCTCTTCCCCACACTGTTCATGGAGGCCTTCAGCAGGAGACGCTGTGAAACCCTGAAAACAATGGTGCAGGCCTGGCCTTTCACCCGCCTCCCTCTAGGGTCCCTGATGAAGTCGCCTCATCTGGAGTCATTAAAATCTGTGCTGGAAGGGGTTGATGTGCTGTTGACCCAAGAGGTTCGCCCCAGGTGAGGTGACCCAGGTGTCCAGGTGGGGAGGGCCCTTTTGTCCAGGGTAGGGACAGCTGTTTCAGGAGGAGGAGGGGCACCATGGAGGCCCAGAGGTTTCTGATGGTGCCAGTGAGGAAGCTCAGGAAGGCCTTGGCCATTGCCCAGCCCCTCTGGGAAAGGACTGCTCACCATGCAGGGTCCACTGAGGAAACAGAAACTTCTCTTCTAGTGGCTCTGAAAGCTACAGGCAATGGGGATGAGGCAAAATCCGGAGGGAAAAGGGGTTGGACAAAATCAGAGAGGGAAAAGTGGCAGAGAGGAGAACAGCTGATGTCTGGGATGTAAATAAAAGCTCAGGTCCTTGCCTTAGTTTGGAGCCTCTCTTCTCCTTTACCCACAGGCAGTCAAAACTTCAAGTGCTGGACTTGAGGAATGTGGATGAGAACTTCTGCGACATATTTTCTGGAGCTACTGCATCCTTCCCGGAGGCTCTGAGTCAGAAGCAAACAGCAGATAACTGTCCAGGGACAGGCAGGCAGCAGCCATTCATGGTGTTCATAGACCTTTGTCTCAAGAACAGGACACTAGATGAATGCCTCACCCACCTCTTAGAGTGGGGCAAGCAGAGAAAAGGCTTACTGCATGTGTGTTGCAAGGAGCTGCAGGTTTTTGGAATGCCCATCCACAGTATCATAGAGGTCCTGAACATGGTGGAGCTTGACTGTATCCAGGAGGTGGAAGTGTGCTGCCCCTGGGAGCTGTCCACTCTTGTGAAGTTTGCCCCTTACCTGGGCCAGATGAGGAATCTCCGCAAACTTGTTCTCTTCAACATCCGTGCATCTGCCTGCATTCCCCCAGACAACAAGGGGCAGTTCATTGCCCGATTCACCTCTCAGTTCCTCAAGCTGGACTATTTCCAGAATCTGTCTATGCACTCCGTCTCTTTCCTCGAAGGCCACCTGGACCAGCTGCTCAGGTGAGGAAGGATGGTGAGCTTTCTCTTCAGACCACAGCAGAGCCTTTCTTTGTTACAGTAAACACCAGTGGGTATGCACTGTGAGCCTGTGAGGAAGTAAGAGTGAGGGGACACTAGAATATCCATGCATTATCCTGTTGGTGGCTCTGTCCTGATACGGGTATCACACAACCATCCCAATAAAGTCAGAGGGATCTCCTGGGCTAGATGCTATAGAGAAGGTGCCAAGCTAGGAAGCTAGCTACTGCAGGGTTTAGATCTGGCGAGAGTGCATTTGTGAATTCCTCCTGAGGATGTGTGTCTAAGTTAAGATGATGGGAAATAGGGAGGTGAAGAGGGCACTAAAGAGAATGCCCATCCCACTCCTATATTTTAAAATATGAGGTCTATCCTCACCTGCCTAGTGAACAGGCAAAATCCTATGTTTCCCTGTCAGCACCCTGTTTTGAGCTCCAGGTCAGGTAATTAATGTATGGGAAATACATGATGATAGAATAGAGGGTGAGGGAGCAGGAGCAAAGAATGGTAAAAGTGATAGATGGTTTGCTGATGGTACAGGCATGTCAGGGTCTCCTGCAACCTGGCCAACCCAGCTGATGTTGCAGGATCCTGCCTGGGTTTGTCATTTATGCCTGTGTCTCCATCGGGCTCCTGTGGCCCAGAGATGTGGTTTTCTACCTGACAGATGAGGAAAGGGAGACTTAGAGTTCATGGACTTGATCCAATCACCTCGGTGATGGTGAAGGACTGAGCCTCGATTGGGACTGCACTGAAGGAACAGAGTCTCCATTCCCACACCCCAGGTGCTGACTATCCTCAGATGAGCAGAGCAGCCCTGGGTTATGGAGAGCATCATCTCTCACCCTGAAGTCATCCCCACCTCTCTCCTCTAACTCCTTCTTGTTCTCTCCCAGGTGTCTCCAGGCCTCCTTGGAGATGGTCGTTATGACCGACTGCCTGCTGTCAGAGTCGGACTTGAAGCATCTCTCTTGGTGCCCGAGCATCCGTCAATTAAAGGAGCTGGACCTGAGGGGTGTCACGCTGACCCATTTCAGCCCTGAGCCCCTCACAGGTCTGCTGGAGCAAGTTGTGGCCACCCTGCAGACCCTGGACTTAGAGGACTGTGGGATCATGGATTCCCAACTCAGCGCCATCCTGCCTGTCCTGAGCCGCTGCTCCCAGCTCAGCACCTTCAGCTTCTGTGGGAACCTCATCTCCATGGCTGCCCTTGAGAACCTGCTGCGCCACACCGTCGGGCTGAGCAAGCTAAGCCTGGAGCTGTATCCTGCCCCTCTGGAGAGTTATGACACCCAGGGAGCTCTCTGCTGGGGGAGATTTGCTGAACTTGGGGCTGAGCTGATGAACACACTGAGGGACTTAAGGCAGCCCAAGATCATTGTGTTCTGCACCGTCCCCTGCCCTCGCTGTGGCATCAGGGCCTCCTATGACCTGGAGCCCAGTCACTGCCTCTGTTGAATGCCTGCCATCAGGGTGGATATATTTCAAGCTTTCTTCTGGTCATTTCGGAGCTGAAACCTAGGCCATGAGTGCATGTTAAAGGGAGCACAGACCCATCGTTTCAAATGCCTCCTCAGTGTGAATGGGAAAGGAATGAGGATGCAGGAGGGGCAGGACTGGGGGAAAAGTTGACTTGGAGTGGATGGGCTCTTTAGAGACCTGTGTCCCAGAGAATCAGAAATGGGAATCTGAATTGCTAGAGTGAGAATCAGGGAGGAGAGACACATGAGAGGGTTACCCCTGCACAGATGGTTGTAAAGTAACAGTCAGAAATAAAGGGAAACTGAGTGGAAACTATCTGGTGTCCTCCGTAATTGCTTAACATGGCTTAACAATTAAACAATTTAAACCTAAAAAAGTCCAGTTACTGATCGAGCTAATAAGGCACTGATTTGTCTGTGACTGATGAGGTTCAGCTCCTGGAAATCAAACCATCAAAATGGAATTTGATCATTTAGATCAATCCCCCTCCTGTTACCTTCTTGCTATTCTCTGTGCCTATTTAGTGGCACATGAGAGACGCACACAGGGCCTGAAGCATTCTAAGTGCAAAGTGAGTGTCAGCCACTTAAGTTAAGCCCCTTCAGGTGCCCTCATTCTGTCCTGATGCCGAGACCCTGTTCACTCTCAATGGGTGGATTCAGAGCTCTCAGTTCCTGACCGTTACCTGTGCTGGGAAAGGACTTCACTGCCCAAGGCGTGGCCCTGCCCTGGAAGGGGAGCTCCACACTGTATGAGCAGGAGCCTCAGGGCATCACTAACCCATGCCTGTCATGGTGGGTAGCGGCCCTTGCTGAATTAAAGTAGTTGTGGCCAATAAAGACATCCAAATTCCCTTTCAGCAAAATGCTGACATTATGTAGGCATATAATACCTGTAACATCAATGAAAGACCTTTTCTTAACTCCTCCTTTTTCTCCCTGTGAAGGAAGACTAGTGCATGGTAGTAGGAATCACACATCCTTAGAGGGTGGATAATGATCAAGTGCCTGTGGGTAATTAATGACCACACCTGTGCTGAAGGACCCTACACAAAGGGCACCTAAGTGTAGAACCCTGCCGAGGACTCAGGGGCTGGTGCTATTGGGCACGAAACAGCCAAGAGGCTCAGCTTCCCTGTAAAATGAAGATGATGATGCCACCACCCTATGAGACTATCGTAGGACCCAATGAGATGGTGTATGGTCAGGACTTGGAATGGGGCGTGGCATACAGTAAGAGCTCAATACATGCATCTTGTTCTTTTTTTTTTTCCCCCTCCTAATAGAAGTCCCAGCATTCTTCACCCTTCAATCTCACCTTCTATTCCTGATAATAGGGAGGCAGCAGAAACCCACGGCAGGCAATGGGACTCAACTTCTACACACCACCACCACTTAATCGTGATTCCCCCAAACAGCAGAGCCTCAGCAGCCAGCAGAGGTTGGGATGGGTGGGGCAGGACTGAGTTCATCTCTAGTGATCATGAGATAAAAATTTCCAACCCATGAGACTCATGTGCCATCTGCTGGTTGGTCAGACCATCTGGTGTAATTTATTGATGCAAACAGGATGATATTGAGTGGTATCTCCAAAAATCTGCTGTTATGTAAGTGTTTATAGAGAATAAATATTGTGATTCATATATAATTTTATACATATTGAATACATATTTTTACATAAATTTACGTACATAATTTTATACATATTGAATATATATAATTTTATACATATTGAATATATGTATATTGAAATTTTAAATTATAATGGGAATTTAGTATTTTAAAGTATGTAGTGCAATATTTTAAAAAGGTTTGTAGGCTGGGCACAGTGGCTCACGACTGTAATCCCAGCACTTTGGGAGGCCGAGATGGGTGGATCACGAGGTCAGGAGATGGAGACCATCCTGGCTAACATGATGAAACCCCGTCTCTACTAAAAATACAACAAATTAGCCGGGCATGGTGACAGGCACCTGTAGTCCCAGCTACTCAGAAAGCTGGGGTAGCAGAATGGCATGAACCCAGGAGGCAGAGCTTGCAGTGAGCCGAGAGCGTGCCACTGCACCCCAGCCTGGGGGACAGAGTGAGATCCGTCTCAAAAAAAAAGAAAATGTTTGTGTTGGCCTGGGCAGCACGTATACTAAAGTTGGAATGACACAGAGAAGATTAGCATGGCCCCTGCGCAAGGATGATGTGCAAATTCGTGACAAGTTCCATATTTTTCAGGAAACAACAGATGCTGGAGAGAATGTGGAGAAATTAGGCATGCTTTGACAGTGTTGGTGGGAGTGTAAATTAGTTCTAGCATTGTGGAAGACAGTGTGGTGATTCCTCAAGGATCTAGAACTGGAAATATCATTTGACCCAGCAATCCCATTACTGGGTATATACCCAAAGGATTATAAATCATTCTACTATAAAGACAAATGCACACGTATGTTTAGTGTGGCACTGTTCTTAATAGCAAAGACTTGGAAACAAACCAAAAGCTCTTCAGTGATAGACTAGATAAAGAAAATATGGCACATATACACCATTCAATACTATGCAGCCATAAAAAATGATGAGTTCAGGTCATTTTCAGGGACATGGATGAAGCTGGAAATCATCATTCTCAGCAAACTAACACAGGAACAGAAAAGCAAATACCACATGTTTTCAGTCATAAGTGGGAGTTGAACAATGCGAACACATGGATACAGGGAACATCACACACTGGGGCCTGTTGGGGGGTAGGGATGGTGGGGGAGGGTTAGCATTAGGATAAATACCTAGTGTAGATGATGGCTTGATATGTGCAGCAAACCACCATGGCATATGTATCCCTATGTAACAAACCTGCACGTTCTGCACATGTGTCCCAGAACTTGAAGTATATTTAGAAAATGCTTAATGTGGTGTTGAGTCTCAAATAAAATGACACCTTCAAAACTGATTTTGAAGATCAATGAATAAGAATTGCTCTTATTTAAAAATATTTAAGTTTATACAATTTTGGAGCTGGAAGGAAGTGCAATATTTTTAGGGATATATGATTTATTTTCTTAGAGCAGTTATAAGGTTGCAGTGAAGTTGAGCAGAAAGTGGATCATTCCCACATACTTCATGACCCCACTCTAGCGCGGACTCCTAAAGGATCAACGTCCTGCCCCAGCGTGGTCCATTTGCTCCAATGCATGAACCACACGAACCATCCTTATCACCCAAAGTTCATAATTAACATTAAGGGTTCACATCTGGTGCTGTATATTCTATGAGTTCTGATGAATTGAGGATGACATGTATTCACCCTTATAGCATCATGCAGAGTAGCTTCAGTGCCCTAAAAAAATCACCTGTTCTCTTTCTATCCATCCCACTCTACCCTGACTCCTTGCAACCCCTGGGCTTTCTACTGTGTCCATAGATTTGCCTTTTCCAGAATGTCATGTGGCCTTTTCATGTTGGCTTCTTTCACTTGGTTATGTGCATTTAAGTTTTTTTTATGTCTTTTAGGGCTTAATAATTTACACTGTCAGGATGTGCTACAGTTTATTCATCCATTTATCTGCTGAAGAATATATTGGTCCCTATTAAGTTTTGTCTATTATGAATGTAGTGGTTAAAAACATCCAGGTTTTAGGTTTTCTCATTTGGGTAAATGCCAAGGAGCGTGGCTGCTGGACCATGTGCCTAGGTTGTGTTTGATAATGATTTTTTCCTTGACAATCTCATGTAGACAGAGACTGCTTCTTCAAGGGCAGGGACTGTGTCTCTGTCACCCTGTGGTCCCACAGCAGAGCATGGAACCTGGCAGGTGGCTGTAAATGCTTATTGATCACATAGTGCTCAGAAATCACTTTATAGCCACTACAATGCAAATGTCGGGCAGTCAACATGAGCTGCCACCAATAATATAAACACGTTGAATATGGATGAAGTCACCCTCCTTTTGCCGGGGTCACTACCTGTGTGTCACGGCAGTGCCGTCATCACATGGATGAACTTCATCTGTTTTTTATAGATTTCCCCCCATGTAATACAGGACACAGTCTTTAAACAAAGAGTCACCGGAGTTCCTGATGGCCACTGGTCTGAGTCTGTCCCTTTGGAACTAAGGGCCCTCATAACTGCACTTACCTACCACAGGCGTCCCTGTAAGCACCACTAGAGGGCGAGCATCTTCACCAAACCTGATGGACCCAAGAAGTCTGACCTGAATGTCTCCCTGCTAGGCAGGGGTCCTCAGAGGAATCTTCTATCCAGTCCAGATGGAGGGAACTGGAAGAGTCTCCTCAAACCCAGGACCAACAAAGAGATTCCCTCCAAGATCCCAATTAGGGAGCCAGGACAGGGACTGAGAGGGAACAGGGAAGGGAAGGCACCATGGGTCCCAAAACCTGGAACTGATGGAGAAGGTCCCCTCCAGAAACTGTTTGGAGAGAACCAGCTGGGAAGAATTAAAGTCTCTGAGATCTTCCACCTAAGAGCTGGACATCTGAATTCAGGAAGACTTACCCGAGGCCTTCCCATGGCGCAATCGAGAAGAGCTCACGGGACTCTTGCCAGTGCAGGATGCATTGGTTCTGGAGGCATCAGGAAGAGATCGGAGGTCCCCTTTGAATCCCACTTCTAACACCAGTGAGGTCCACTAAAAATTATGGGGTCTATAGATTTAGAAAAAAGGAGCGTAATTTCTTCTAAAGGTTTACAACCTGCTCGCTGGGAAATGGGCCTCCAGGCAGGACCTGAGGCAAGCGCTTGGAGGGAGGGAAAGTGACCCAGGAATCTATGCTGAACCTGTTGGCCACCAAGTGTGCATATTCAGCAGGTCATTGGAGCAGCTATGAAAATTCACAGGGTGGGGGATGCATGCATGTATGGTAAGCAAATATACATGTCACATACATCCCAGGTTCACCTGGTGGTTGAGGCTTTACATTTAAATGCATTATAATTAGGTTCTCTGCATCCAAAGGAGAAGTTGGGACATGAAGGTCCGCAATTCCTAACTAAAGGGCCTGGGGAGTCACCTTCTACAAATCACAAAGTCCCCTCAGAGGGGGTTTATTTAACCCTATATAAAGTGGCTTAAGGCTGAGTGCAGTGGTTCACGCCTGTAATCCCAGCACTTTGGGAGGCCAAGGTGGGCAGATCACTTGAGGTCAGAAGTTGGAGACCAGCCTGACCAACTTGGAGAAACACCATCTCCACTAAAAATACAAAATTACCTGGGCATGGTGGTATATGTCTGTAATCCCAGCTACTCGGGAGGCTGAAGCAGGAGAATCGCTTGAACGCAGGAGACGGAGGTTGCGGTGAGCTGAGATCACACCATTGCACTGCAACCGGGGCAACAAGAGCAAAACTCGGTCTCAAAATCCATAAATAAATAAATAAATAAATAAATACATACATACATACAATAAAGCGGCTTGTTTTCCAGCCTGACTCAGGGTAGCCCAGAGTCTTCTGATGGTGCTGGTGAGGAAGCTCAAGGAGGCTTTGGCCATTGTCCAGATCCTCAGAGAAAGGACTGCTCACCATACAGGGTCCACTGTGGGAACAGAAACCTGCTTTTTCCCAGTGGAAGGTAAAGGGACTAGAAGTGGGGAGCAGTATGAATCAAAAGAGAAAACGGACTGAGAAAAGTCAGAGAGAGAACAGGGAGCAATGAGAATGAAAGCAAAAGTCAGGGATGGGTCCTTCTAAATTCTGAGCTTCTCCCTTACTTTACCTATAGGAGGTGGAAACTTCAAGTGCTGGACTTGCTGGATGTTGATGAGAATGTCTGGGCTGGATGGCCTGGAGGCTAGGCCCTGTCCTCCTCCCCAGAGGCCATGAGTAAGAGGCAGACAGCAGAGGACTATCCAAGGATGGGAGAGCACCAGCCCTTAAAGGTGTTCATAGACGTCTGCCTCAAGGAAACACCCCAAGATGAATGCCTGAGATACCTCTTCCAGTGGGTTTACCAAAGGAGAGTTTTAGTACACCTGTGCTGTAGTAAGTTGGTGAATTATCTAACACCCATTAAATATCTTAGAAAGTCATTGAAAATAGTCCACCTGAATAGTATTCAGGAGTTGGAAATTCACAACATGTCCTGGCTGCATCTGATAAGAAAGCTTCATTGTTACCTGAAGGAGATGAAGAATCTTCGCAAACTCGTTTTCTCCAGGTGCCATCATTACTCTTCGGACAATGACCTCGAGGAATGGTTACTCACCAAATTCAGCCTGTGTTCCTCAGGCTGGAACACCTCCAATTGCTTAAAGTAAAATTGATCACCTTCTTCAGTGGGCACCTGGAACAGCTGATCAGGTGAGAAAGGATCGTGCACTTTCTCTGAAGACCACAGCACAGCCTTTTTTTGTTACAGCAAACGCTAGAAGGCATAACTTTTGTGTCAGCCAGTGGTGACATCACAGTGAAGGGGACACCAGAATATCAACACATTGTCCCATTCAGTGCTCCATGTTCCGGAGTGGCTATCACAGGATCTCTGCAATGAGGGCAGCGGGGTCACCTGGGGTAGAGGCTAGAGAGCTACATCATGTACAAGCCAGGTAGTGGGGGTTTCAGCTCTACTGGGGGGTGCATATGTGAATTTCTTGTTACAAAGTGTGTTTCAAGTTGATATGATAGGAAAGAGGTAATAGAGGAGGGTATGAAAGGAGGGACAGCGCATCAAACCTGTGCATTTCACAGTAGAAACTCTGTCCTCACCAGCTTAGTGATCACAAATGATCCTGTCTCTATTCCCTGTCTGTAAAAGGTTGTTTTGAACCCCAGGAAAGGTAACTGACATGGGAAATGTGTGCTTCTTGAATGGAGGCTGAGGGAGTAGGCGTGAGAGTGGTAAAAAGTGATAGGTGGTTTGCAGATGCAGGCACGTCAGGGAGCCCCTGCCAGTAGGTAGCCCTAGCTGATGACCCTAGACCTTGCTCAGTTGAGTTCTTCATGCACATCTCCCACCGGGTACCTGTGGCCCAGAGATGAAGTTTTCTGCTAAAAGATGAAGAAAAGAGGCTTTAGTGATGTGATTTTGTGGCCTTGAACCAATCACACAAGCAATGGTGAAAGGATTGAGGCTAAACTAGGACTGCCCCTGAATGATCAGAGTCCTCATCACAGAGCAACTTGCATGTGGACCATCATCACATGATGGGAATAAACTTGTGTTTGGGTGAAGCAGACATTTCCCTTTCAGTTATTCCCCACCACCTTCATCTAACTGGTATCACTGCCCAGAACTAACTTCTTGATCTCCACAGGTGCCTCCAGAACCCCTTGGAGAACTTGGAGTTAACTTGTGGCTACCTATTGGAAGAGGACATGAAGTGTCTGTCTCAGTACCCAAGCCTCAGCTACCTAAAGCATCTGAATCTCAGCTACGTGCTGCTGTTCCGCATCAGTCTTGAACCCCTCGGAGCTCTGCTAGAGAAAATTGCTGCCACTCTCAAGACCCTCATCTTCGAGGGCTGTCAGATCCACTACTGCCAACTCAGCGCCATCCTGCCTGGCCTGAGCCGCTGCTCCCAGCTCACCACCTTCTACTTTGGCAGAAATTGCATGTCTACGGACACCCTGAAGGACCTGCTGCGCCACACCAGTGGGCTGAGCAAGTTAAGCCTGGAGACGTATCCTGCCCCTGAGGAGAGTTTGAATTCCTTGGTTCGTGTCGATTGGGAGATCTTCGCCCCACTTCGGGCTGAGCTGATGTGTACACTGAGGGAAGTCAGGCAGCCCAAGAGGATCTTCACTGGTCCCACTCCCTGCCCTTCCTGTGGCTCATCACCGTCTGAGGAACTGGAGCTCCATCTTTGCTGCTAGGGAAGGCGTGCCTAGTGGGGTTGATAAATCCAAAGTTCTCTTCCAGGCACTTGGACACTAAAATCTAGTATGTAAGTGCAAGTTATGTTTGTTTTTTCTTATTTCCTTTTTTAATAATTCTAAAATTTTATTAAAGAACATTTGAGACAGGGTTTCGCTGTGTTGCCCCAGCTGGTCTGAAACTGCTGGGCACATGGGATTCTCCTGCCTTGGCCTCCTAAAGTGCCAGGATTACTGGCATGAGTGATTGTGACCAGGCCACATGCAACTTACAGGAAGCACAGAATTCTTTGCTTCAGGCAGGTGCTCAGTATGAGGGAAAAAAGATAACAGCAGGGGGCAAGACTGGAGGAAAATGTGGAGGTGGAGTCAATGAGACCTTACGGGACCCATGTCCTACAGAGTCAGAAAGAGAAGCTAAAGTTCTACAGTGATGAGAATGTTATCCCTGCAGGGACGGTTACCAAGAAATATCAGAAATAACCTCAATGAAAACTTTCTGGTGTCCTCTGTATTTGATTGACTTGTTTTAGCGATTTATACATCAGAAATCTCTAGTTATTGAGTTACTGATGGAAAAGTATCAAAGTACTCTGTTGTCTGTGATTGAGATTCAGCTGCAAAACATCTAATTCCCACCCATTCTTTTTCTTTGCTTTTTTTTAAAAAAAAAAAAAAAAAAAAAAAAAAAAAGACAACATCTTGCTTTGTCACCCAGGCTGCAGTGCAGTGGTCCCGTCTGGGCTCACTGCAATCCTACCCTTCGGGGCTCAAGTGATTCTCATGCCTCAGCCACTCTAGTAGGTGGAATTGCATGCAAGTGCCACCAAGCCTGCTAGTTTTTGTATTTTTAGTAGAGACGCGGTTTTTCCATGTTGACCAGGCTGGTCTTGAGCTCCTGGCTTCAGTGATCTGCTGACCTTGGCCTCCCAATGTGCTGGGATTACGGGTGTGCCAATGATCTCCACCCATTCTTTACTTCTCTTCAGTCATCTGTTTTTTCCTTACATTTTCGCCTGCAAGGAGCAGCTCAGTCAGGCACAAAGGGACGGGCAGAGAGGGGCCCCGAGGAGAAGATGGGCTTGAGGTGGTAGGCAGAGCTGGGATCAAGCTACAGGGGCCTTTGTTGGGAAGCAGAAATGGCACCTAGTTCAATGACCTGGCCAGCTATGGGGCCACTGTGCCCACCCTGCTAACAGTGCCAAGTTCCTGGGTGTCGAAGGGAGGTTCTGTGCTAATCCTCCTGGGGCTGCATTTCCAAGATCTGCCCCCCACAGGGGTGACCACAGAGACTGACGTTCCTAATTGCTGGGTCTGGGGACCACGGTCCACTCCTGGAGGCACCCCACCTTGGCAGGGTTGTGAGCCAGGCCTCTGCCCCGTGTTCCTGAGGCAGACAGCTGTGCCACCCACACCCTCTCATGGCTTAATGAGACCCGCTCCCGGGTCTGGAGCCTCTACAAAGCCTCAAACTCACTCCTCACGGCCTGCTGTTAGCCTGCAATATTCTTAACTAGAGTGCAGTTGGGGCTCATTCAACCAGACCCAGAAGCATTGGGTTTGTTTTTGCAGGGTTGGCCAGAGCTGCTGTGAACCTGCATCTCACCTGTCACCTCTGTGGAGAAACACAGAGAGAGGGCATAACTGAGGCTACATACACTTTGAACCTGATGGGATCCTGGGACAAGAGGGAGTCCTGGCCCTCCCGAGTTGGCAGGACAGTAGCTCCAAAGGCACAACTGAAGCTGCCCAGGTCGCAGTTCCAACCAAGGTCCCCCAGTGCTCTTGAGGGCTCAGGAGGTCTCCCCTTCTCCTGCAGCATGGGGGTGTCTGCTCCCACTGTGTGGTCCCTCCTGGCACCTGCTGTAATTTTGGAGCGGAGTTGGGGTCAAGCATGTATGCTGTGGCAGCCCAGATGAGCGTGTGCATGCTCAGGTTCGTGCTGATGCACCGTCTGCCTGCTGTCTTGAACACTCTGGGCTTTGGGCCCTGATGAGCATGGGAGGGAGGCTGAGAGGGGGCTGAGGACAGATCAGTGCTGGCCTTTGGATGCTCCTTGATGCAAGTGACCTGGGCGCCATGGGTGGTGGTGGGAGGCAGACAGACTCCTGGATGGGAAGACGAGGGTACCTGGTGAGGCTCTACCTTGTGACCAAGGGGGGCCTGAAGCCCGTGGGCTGGTCCACCAGTGCTATGGACCAGAGTGGGAATATGTGGTGCCTTTTCTGTGCCTGCCAATGGCTACCTATGACCCAAGCAGCACATACTTCCTTCCCCATGATGCCCCAACAGCCCCAGACTCAGGGAAAACATCAGGATGAACAGTGGCAGAGTGAAACTACCCACTCTTGGGATGATTTTCCTGCAGACAAGCAATCCACTCTGGGGCCTTTTCTCTACTGAGAGCTGTGGAGATGATGAGATGACTTTCCTGGAAAGAGCAGCAGACACCACTGTGTACTCCAGGGACAAACATGGAAGCTGCTTTTGCTGTGCCTGGTTCATTTGCAGCCTTGCAAAAATCTGGCACCTGTGCTGGCACCTGGAGCTGCCTGCCCCACTGCTGCGGGAGCCAGTGACTGTCCAAAGTGACCAGACCCCCTGCTCACTCACACACCCCTCACTGCTCCAGTCCTGACCCTCCCTTAATAGGCATGTGATCCAGGCCTGAAGCATGAGCCAAGCATAGTCTACCAGTCTGAGTGGGCAGAACAAACCCAGTGAACCCCATCAAAACTCCGGCAAAGGTGCCCCCAGCCATAGAGGCTTCTGGCCAGAAAAGTCACATCCCAAGGATTTCATAAGGGAAAATTACTTAAACACAAAGAAAGACAATAAGAAAGGAAGGATGGAAGAGAGAAGTCTCTAACCAACCAGAAAACAAGAAATTAAATGGGAGTACTAAGCCTTTATCAATAACAACAATGAAGACAATATATCTCAGTTCTGCAAGTGAAAGTCTTAGGGTCGTTGAATGAGTAAAAGAATAAGACCATACTATATGCTGTTTTCCAGAAACTCACTTCACCTATAAGGACACATGTAGTCTGAAAGTGAAGGGGTAGAAAAAGATATTCCATGCAACACACCTGTGTTTCCAGCTAACTGGCAGACTGACATGGGAGGATCATTTCAGCCTGAGAGGCCGAGGCTGCACTGAGCCGAGATTGCACCACTGCACGCCAGCCTTAGAAACAGAGTAAGGCTCTGTCTTTCAAAAGAAGAAGAAAGAAAAGAAAAGCAAAGAAGATGTCTCTTCACATTTTATGCTGCACAGGCATTTTTTTTCTGATCTGCACTGCACTGCCAAGCCAGGTGTATTCTGTTGAGCTCACTTTGCAGCTGCCTTGCTTCTTGTTTATCCTAAGTAGCACCCAGAATAGTAGGTGGCACATTGCAGGCACTCATTCAAAGGTTTTTTTTTTTTGTTTCACATTTTTTTGTCTGTTTGTTTTGTTTGTTTGTTTGTTTTTGAGACAGAGTTTCACTCTTGTTGCCCACCCAGGCTGGAGTGCAATGGCGTGATCTCAGCTCACTGCAACCTCTGCTTCCCGGGTTCAAGCAATTCTCCTGCCACCACACCCGACCAATAGGAAGGGGAGGCACTGGATGTTAATAGTGTCAAATGTGCCAAAATCTTCTCTGTGGTTTTTCCCCAGAGTCTCCCCCTCCAGGGCCACCTGAAAATCCTCAGCCCTGGACAATGCAAGATTTTTTTTGACTGAGGATCACTGTGCTCCTTCTAGATCCATCAGAAAGTGCCAGGCAGTCTGATAGGTCCTGGTTTGACTTACATCTAGCAAGACCTTCACCTGGTTGGCAGGAGTAGATATGGGGGTCACTTGGATGACAGGGACTCCAGTCCAGACCCCATTCTACCTCATTCCCTCCTGCAAAGTTCAATCCTCACAGTCCTATGAGGCTGTGGCAAGTGCAGAGACAGAACTGCACCATATCCAACGTGCCTCCCTTCCCCTGGCCTCACACCAAGTCTCCCTCCCTCTGACATGTCCCTTGTCTTTGCATCCAGGGTGGATGTTTGCCATTGACTCTCTCTCCCCATGTCTCCCTGCTAGACTGACTCTTTGCCCCTGGGGTGAGATGGGGCAGCCACTGGAACCTCATGTAGACCAGGGTGAAATCAAAGGGCCTTAGAAACTCACAGCTCCACATCCAGGCACAGGTCCTTTGAGGATCTCAGACACAAGTCCACAGCTTATCAGGGACGCGGCTCTGTGAAAGCCAAATAACCCGGCCCCCTACCCTGCTGCCATCTCTCTCCTCTGTACTTACTCTGGCCCACATCAGCTCCTCTGGGCCACTCCCTTTCTGGGCCCTGTTCTTTTCCTTAGTCCTCCTGGCTCCATCCAGCCTGCAGCGAGTTCCCAGACCTCCCCCACCCCAGGCTGCCACAAGCACCTTCTTAGGCATCTACTCTGCTTTCAGAGTGAGCTTCTCCTCAGATCTTTATTGGGGAAAAAAGGAGGGGCAGCCCCTGATCTTGGAAAAGACGGTCACAAATGCGACCTGGAATGAGATCCTGTTGAGGACTAAAGAAGTCCAGCAGGGCCTGAACAGTGATTTCTACTGTTAGAAACATGGAGAGGGCAAACACCATGGGCAAAGAAAGCCCTGACTCAGAAACAGACTCACTGCATTCCAGGTGCAGCCTCGTCAGCTCTAAGACTGGGCAAGGGGATCCTAGAAGGGATGGCCCCCTGCACTGGGACCTGTCCCAGGCTCTGCCAACAGCCTGGCACTTCTAGGAAAACCAGAGGAGTCAGCTCTTCCTGTGGAAGGCAGACAAACTTCCCCTCCATTGGTCCTGGGTGCCTCTTTAGGTCCGGAAGAGCAGCTGAGGAGCTCCCTGCTTTGTGCCTTGCTATGTGCACCCAAAAAGCTCAGTAGAATTTGGGGAGAATGTATGAGTCACTGCTGATTCCAGGGAGAGTGTCTCTTAGCATTGTTTGTGGCCATAGTCCTCGGTGCAGGAGAGATCGGCTGACATTTCCAGGAAGCAGAGGATTCAGCTTCTCTCACAGCTCAGGCTGGGGGAGGAAAACAGAAATTCAGAAATATTTTAGAGACCCCCATCAAAAGCCTGGAGAAGCTTTGGAATCCCAGTAGAAATTCTGTGAGTGGAATTGAAGTCAGGCCGTCCCTTCAGATGGGCTCTGAAAGCTACTCTGACCTGGACAGCAGAGGAGCACCTTCAGAAGCACAGGCAACCAGAACATGGTAGAAAGACCCCCGAAACTGCAGGATTCTCACTGGGGTCCTGAGGATGGTGCAGGATTCCCCCAAGAGGTTCATTTTTCTCCCAAATTCTTCAGATACACAGCTTGCACCATTCATGCTTCCAGATTGAAAAGTCTCCCTCCTTATGTCTGACCACACTGCTCCTCTCTGGGCTCTGCCCCAGCTCACACACTCAGATTCACTCTTCCCAAGCTGGTATTCTGAGGGAAGCCCATCCTGTTTGTGAGTAATGATGCTTCACCTTCCAGTAGGAGTCAAGATTGTGTCTGCCCTCTCTGCCCTCAAAGACACTGTGATGTTTTACGAGTCTGCATTATCTCTTTTGTAATTAGGTTTTTTTAATTTTTAAACTCAATGTAGAAGGAAGTCTTTCAATCCTTTTGTCTAGATGCCCACAAAATACCTGCCATGTTTTATGTTGTCTTGGTTCCCTCCTAGGGTCCCATTAGAACAGTCAGTACTGTCCAGCCCAACCTCCACCTCACTTTGTAATTTAGGCCTGATTTCTTTCAGTGATGCCTTGACCTTAACCTTGAGATAAATTACACCCTCAGTAGTTCCTGTCTTCCACCTGAATGGGCATATGATCTACCATGTTAGGTAGCGCAAAACCCAGGTGACCAGTGGATACACTGAGATTTTTATTGTGTTTTTAGGGATGACATCACTGTCTTCTTAAAGCTGTTTTAACTCTGAAAAGTTTTGATACTTTTGATGTGGCCAAAGGTTCTCCAATAAAGATACCATATATAAATATATGTATTTCTAATGTCTGAAACAGATTAAAACCTTCCCTGTATCACTATGAAGGTCACATATTGGTAAAACTTTACCAATATTTATGGAATAAGTGAATAAATGAGTTTTAGTCCTTCACCCTATTATTAATTCTTTCACTTTCATAAATCCATATCTAATTTAATCACTTAATAAGAAGAAAGTTGAAAACTCAATCACCGTTAACTGGGTGGAAGTTCAGGATCCAGTTGGATGTCATTTTTGGATTGGAAGTTGGTAATTGAGAAGGGGGTTGTGGTGAGAAAAGTCAATAAAACTCCTGAAGATGCACAGAAGAGACCCAAAGCCCTGGCTCCTGGAGCTACTGCTTGATTCTCAGAGAGGTCCCAGCACCCTGCAAAGTGAGTCCAGATCTGGCAAGTCACCACTTATTAGGGATGTGCCCGTTTGATCTGATGTTCTGTATAGCATGTCACACAAAAGTCTGGAAGACACTAGCACATACACTGTGAAGAGAAGTCTCAAAAAAAGGGAAGGTTATAGAAGACACTTGCTCTGTGTTTTTGGAATGTTTTGCATTGAGAATTCTGTCCAGAGAAGGGAAAAAGAATGAAAAACAAAGGAAGCTCACCCAAATGTACCTCTATGTACCTTTTACCATGCTGGACTTTCTTTTGTTTTGTTTTCTTTTCTCTCTCTCTCTTTTTTTTTTTTTTTTTTTTTTTGATATGGCATCTCGCTCTGTTGCCCAGGCTGGAGTGCAGTGGCATGATCTTTGATCACTGTAACCTCCACCTCCTGGGTTCAAGCAATTCTCCTCCCTCGGCCTCCCCAGTAGTTGGGATGATACTTGCCACCACGCCCAGTTAATTTTTGTATTTGTTTTTATTATACTTTAAGTTTTAGGGTACATGTGCACAATGTGCAGGTTAGTTACACATGTATACATGTGCCATGTTGGTGTGCTGCACCCAGTAACTTGTCATTTAACATTAGGTATATCTCCAAATGCTATCCCTCCCCACTCCCCACACAACAGGCCCCAGTGTGTGATGTTCCTCTTCCTGTGTCCATGTGTTCTCATTGTTCAATTCCCATCCTATCACAAGGACAAAAAAACAAACACCGCATGTTCTCACTCATAGGTGGGAATTTTTGTGTTTTTAATAGATACAGAGTTTCACCGTGTTGCCCAGACTGGTCTCGAACTCCTGACCTGAAGTGATCCATGCGCCTCAGTCTCCCAAAGTGCTGGGATTACAGACGTGAGCCACCACACCGGGCCAATTGCTGGACTCTCATGTCACACATGGATATGGTATCACAAAGGCAATTTTTTCCATAATCCAATGTATTTATATTATTGGTAGTGAGCTAATGTTGACGTCCCTAAGTTAGCAATTCAGTGGCTATACCCATGACAAACGTTTCCATGCATCACGTGGTCAACAGCATTTGCTCCTGGGTTCAAGAGATTCTCTTGCCTCAGCCTCCTGACTATCTGGGATTACAGGGGCCCGTCACCACACCAGGCTAATTTTTTGTATTTTTAGTAGGGACGGGTTTTTACCACATTGGCCAGGCTGCTCTCAAATTCCTGACCTCGTGATCTGCCTGCCTCGGCCTCCCAAAGTGCTGGGATTACAGGCGTGAGCCACCACGCCTGGCCATTAACCATTCTTAAAATATCACATTGCATTCTTTAAAAGTTTTATATCTTTCATATACATAAATTACAACACAAATATTTATACTCAACTAGTATTCACATTATAGTAAATTTTCTTTTCTTGCTCTGTTGCCCAGGCTGGAGTGCAGTGGTGCGATCTCAGCTCACTGCAACCTTCGCCTCCCGGGTTCAAGTGATTGTCCTGCCTCAGTCTCCTGAATACCTGGGATTACAGGCGAATGCCACCACGCCCAGCAATTTTTTTTGTATTTTGAGTAGAGACGGGGTTTCACCATGTTGGCCAGGCTGGTCTCAAAATCCTGACCTGAAGTGATCTGCCCGCCTCAGCCTCCCAAAATGCTGGGATTACAGGTGTGAGACACCAAGCCTGGCCATGACAATGGCCTCAGCCTCCCAAAGTGCTGGGATTACAGACACGAGCCACCGCTCCTGGCTCATAATAGTAAATTTAAAAAAATACCATATAATATAATCCTTGCAACATTAAATTACACCATCTGATCTGATCTACCAGCAGATGGCACCCGAGACCTATGGATTGGACATTTTACTCTTCTTAGGAATGAATCCAGTCCAGAAATGCCCACCCTGCCCCCTGCTGGCTCCTGGGGCTCTGCTGTTTGGGGGAGTCATGATGAAGTTGTGGCAGAGGGTAGAAGATGAGCCCCATTGCATGCCCTGGGTTCTTGTTGCCTCCCTGTTATCAGGAATAGGAGGTGAGATAGATTGAAAGATGAAAATTGCTGGGACTTCTGCTGAGAAGAGAAAAAAGAACAAGATGTATTCATCTAACTGTATGCCAGTCCCCATGCCAAGCCCTAAACATGAACCATCTTATTGGATCCTTGCAGGGTCCTATAAGCCGTTGGACATCATCCTCATTTTACAGGGACCTGAGGCTCTTGGTTAAGATCCCTGACAGCAATACCAGCCCCTGAATCCTCAGCAGGATCCTTCACTTGGGTGCCCATTATGCAGGCTTCCTCAGCACAGGGAAGGTCACTCATCACCCACAGGCACTTGATTGTTATCCACCCTTTGATCATGTGAGATTCCAGAACACGCTGCACTGGTCTCTTCCTTGATAGGGAGAGAGGGGAGGTGTTATGAGAAAATCTCTCATCGATCTGACCTAGCTCCCTAATAAGAAGTAACTTTTTAAATGTCAGATGGAAATATTTAAAAAGTGTTACATACCTGTGTAGTTTTAGTATTTTACTTAAAGGGAATGTGGCTGTCTTTACTGGCTACAACCAGTTTAATTCAAGAAGGGCTGCTGGTCATCAGGAGAACAAGCAAGGGTTGGTGCTGCCCAGAGTCTCCAGCTAATACACAATATGGACATCCCCTTCCAGGGCAGCGGGAAGAGAGTGGCTCCTTGTGCAGTGAAGCTGACATCCACCAACTAAGGCTTCTGGAACCATGTGGAGACTCACAAGGAGTGGGCAGGGTCTCAGCATCTGGCTAGCAGTGAAAGACCCTGAGAAGAAGGTGCTTTCCACGTGGATTGGCTCACTGTTCTTGCCCAGTAATGTTCCAGACCCTTGGTTTCCACCTAGTGTGTATTAACCCACTGAACAGCCACAGAAACTAACAAGGAATTAACAGACATCTAAAGAAGTGAAGAACTGGAGGAGGCCAAGCCAATCGTGGTGGTCCACGCCTATACTCCCTGCATTTTGGGAGGCCAAGGCAGGAGAATCACAAGCTCAGGAGTTCCAGATCAGCCTGGGCAAGACAGCGAGACCTTGTCACCACTTAAAAAAACAAGCAAACAGGCATGGTTGCTCACACGCCTGTAGTCCTAGCTCCTCAGGAGGCTGAGGTGGGAGGATCGCTTGAACCCAGGAAATTGAGGCTGCAGTGAGCTATGATTGTGCCGCTGCACTCTAGCCTGAGTGACAGGAGACCTTTAAAAAACAAAAACAAAAACAAGCCTGACACAGTGGCTCACGCCTGTAATCCCAGCACTTTGGTAGGCCTACTTGCGTGGATCACCCAAAGTCAGGAGTTTGAGAACAGTCTGACCAACATAGTGAGGAAACCCTGTCGCTACTAAACATACACAAATTAGCTGGGCATGGTGGTGCATGCCTGTAATCTCAGCTACTTGGGAGGCTGAGGCAAGAGAATCATTTAAACCCCAGGTGGAGGTTGCAGTCAGCTGAGATGGCACCATTGCACTCTAAACTCCAACCTGGTCAACAAGAGTGAAACTCTGTCTCAAATAAAAGAATGGGAGGAAACTGATTACAATAACCAAATTTCATTTAAATGCCTTGATTTTCTTGGGTAGCATCTTATTGATTGGACAACTCAGTGCCTTTTGTTTTTTCCGTCAATAACTGAAGATTCCTGAGGCTTAAACTGGAAAACAGGTTACTTAATAATAGAGGGCACCAGACAGTTACCACTCAGTTTTCCTTTATTTCTGATTGTTTCTTTACAACCATGCATCCAAGAGTAACTCCCTCAAGTATTCTCAAGCCTCCACTCTAGACATTCAAATTCCCATTTTCCACTCTACAGGACACAGGTCCCCAAAGTCCCATCGAATCCATGGCAACACTTCCCCCAAGTCCTGCCCCTGCTTGATCACCTTTCCTTTCCCACTTTCAGAGCCCATGTGTGAAATGATGGGTTCTGTGCTCCCTATAGGATGTACCTAAGACCTAGGTTTTAGTTTCCAAGTGTCCAGAAGAAAGCGTTTGACATATCCACCCAAATAGGCAGGCATTCAACAGCAGCATTGATCTGCCTCCAGGTCATAAAATGACCTGTTGCCACAGTCAGGGCAGCAGTCAGTACAGAACAAGATCCTCTTGGGGTGCCTTAAGTCCCTCACTCTCTTCATCAGCTCAGCCCTAATTTGAGGAAATCTGCTCCAGCAGAGAGTACCATCAGCATCATAACTCTCCCGGGGGGCAGGATACAGCTCCACGCATAAGTTTTTGAGTATGATTGTGTGGCTCAGCAGGTTCTCCAGGGTGGCCATGGAGATGGGATTTCCACAGAAGCTGAAGGTGTTGAGCTCAAAGCAGCGGCTCAGGGCAGGCAGGATGGCGTTGACTTGGGAGTCTATGATGCCACAGTCATCTAAATCCAGGTACTCAAGGGTGGCTGCAACTTTTTCTAGGAGAATTTGGAGAGGCACAAGACTGTAATTGGTCAGTCTGATGCCACTCAGGTCCAGGGTCTTTAGTTGACTGATACTCGGGCACTGGGATAGATGCTTCAAGTCTGATTCCAAAAGCACACAGTTAGTTATTGTGAGGACCTTTAACGAGGTCTTCAGACAGCTGGGGAGAGAGAGCAAGAAGTTAATTCTGGGGAATCATAGGGGTGAGTGGAGGGTGGTGGGGAATGGCTTCAAGGTAATGGATGGAGACCATTTTGCCCAAGTCCAGGGTCATTCTGATGGCCTGATGGTCAACATTTAGGATGATGTGTGATGAAGAGCTTTGCCACCGAGGTCAATTCCACTTTAGGCCCGGCCCAGTAACTCACACCTGTAATCCCAGCACTTTGGGAGGCTGAGACTGGTGGATTCCTTGAGATCAGGAGTTTGAGACCAGCCTGCTGAACATGGCAAAACCTCCTCTCTACTAAAAATCCAAAAATTAGCCAGGTGTGGTGGCGGGAGCCTGCAATTCCAGCTACTTGGGAAGCTGAGGCAGAAGAATCGCTTGAACCCAGGAGGTGTAGGTTGCAGTGAGCAGAGATCATGCCACTACACTCCAGCCTGGGTGACAGAGAGAGACTCCGCATTAAAAAAAAAAGGAGAAAAAAATAATTCCATTTGAGGCTGAGTCACTTCACCATCATTTATAGGAATGGATCAAGTTCACAGAATCCCTAAAGCTCCCTTTCCTCATCTGTCAGGCAGAAAACCACATCCCTGGGCCACAGGAGCCCAGTGGAGATTCAGGCATAAAGGACAAACCCAGACAGGATCCTGCAACATCAGCTACGGTGGGCGGGCTGCAGGCGTCCCTGACAAGCCTGTATCATCAGCAAACCATCTATCACTTTCACCATTCTTTGTGCCTGCTCCCTGACCCTCTGTTTCAGAATCATGCATTTCCTAGGTAATTAATTTACCTGGAGCTCAAAAGAAACTTTTACAACACGGAATTAGAGATGGGATCATTCATGTTCACGAAACTGTGGGGCACAAAGCTGATTTTCTGACATGTGCAGGTTTGCTGAGCATTCCCCTCTTCAGTGCCCACTTCACTTCCCTACTTCACATCATCTTCTTAAAAATTATCTTGTTGGCTGGGCGTGGTAGCTCTCGCCTATAATCCCAGCACTTTGGGAGTCCAAGGTGGGTGGATCACCTGAAGTCAGGAGTTGGAGAATAGCCTGGCCAACATGGTGAAACCCTGTCTCTACTTAAAATATAAAAATTAGCCAGGTGTGGTGGCTCACGCCTGTAATCCCAGGCACTCAGGAGGCTGAGGCAGGAGAATCGCTTGAACCTGGGAGGCAGAAGTTGCTGCGAGCTGAGATGTCACAACTGCACTGTAGCCTGGACGATCAAAGTGAAACTCCATCTCAGAAAAGAAAGTTATCTTGTTTGTTTTTACTTTTATTTATTCATTTCTGACAGGGGTCTTGGTATGTTACCCAGACTGGTCTTAAACTCCTAGGCTCAAGCTATCCTCTTGCCTCAGACTCCCAAACTGCTAGGATTACAGGCATGAGCCACCGCCCCTGGCCTATTTTTCATCATCTTAACTTAGACACACATCCTCAGGAAGAATTCAGAAAGGCACCCTCACTAGATCTGAACCCCCCAGGAGCTAGCTTCCTAGCATGGCAGCCTCTCCATAGCATCTCCCCTAGCTGATCCCTCTGCCTCTATTGGGAGGGTTGCATGATACCCATTTCAGGACAGGGCCGCCAACAGGACAATGCATGGACATTCTAGTGTCCCCTTCACTGTTTCATCCTCATAGGCTGGCTCACAGTAGATGCCCACTAGCGTTTACTGTAACAGGCTCTGCTGTGGTCTGCAGAGAAAGCTCACCACCCTCCCTCACCTGAGCAGCTGGTCCAGGTGGCCTTCGAGGAAAGAAACAGAGTTCATAGAAAGCTTTTGGAGGCAGCACAGCTTGAGGAACTGAGTGGTGAACTGGGTAACAATCTCCTTCTTCTGCTCTGGGGAAACGTAGCGAGAGACATCCATGTGGGAGAGAACGAGCTTCTGAAGATTCCTCATGTGGCCCAGGTATGGGGTAAACTGTGTCAGGATGGGCAGTACCCACTTGCAATTCACTTCCACCTCCTGGATACAGTCTAGGTTCACCATTTTCAGGATGCTTCTGATATTGCGGAAGGGCATTCCCAAAATTTTCAGCTTCTTACAGCACAGGTGTAGTAAATCTTTCCTCTGCTTGACCCATAGAAGGAGGCAGGTGAGGTATTCATCCAGAGTCCTGTTCTTGAGCCAAAGTTCTACGAACACAGTCAAGGGCTGCTGTCCTCTCATCCTTGGACAGTCCTGCACTGGTTTTTTGTTCCTCTTGGCATTGAGGAAGCACCCATGGGCCATAGCTTCAGACCAAACCATCCAGAAGTTCTCACAGACATCCTGTAAATCCAGCACTTGAAGTTTCCACCTCCTGTGGGAAAATAGAGGTGAGAATGAGAATTTCAGAACTCATTTCTGAACTTAAACTCCACATCCTGGAGAGCAGCTCCTCCCCTCCCTGCTTCTTGTCCCTCTCTCTGACTTTTCTTCACCCTGTTTTCCCCTTGGATCCTGCCCACTTCCACATTTTTTTGTTTTTCTTTTGAGACCACGTCTCCCTCTGTCGCCCAGGCTGGAGTGCAGTGGTGTGATGTCACCTCACTGCAACCTCTGCTTCCCGGGTTCAAATGATTCTCCTGCCTCAACCTCACAAGTAGCTGGGATTACAGGAACCCACCACCATGCCCAGCTAATTTTTGTATTTTTAGTAGAGTTGGGGTTTACCATGTTGGACAGGCTGGCCTCCAACTCTTGGCCTCAGCCTCCCAATGTGCTGGGATTACATTGTGAGCCACCGTGCCCGGCCCAGTTCTCACTTTTCATGGTGCCTTTCAGTGCCATTAGAGGAGAGGTTCCTGTTACCTCCATGGACCTTGCGTGGTGAGCAGTGCTTTCCCTGAGGAGCTGGTGAATGGCCAAGTCCTCTCGGCTTCCTCACCACCACCATCCCCCTTGGGCCTCCTCACTTGTCATGACACAGCTCTTCCTTTGGTTGGATACCTGGGCCCTCCCCACCAGCCCACCTGGGCCACCTCACCTGGGATGAACCCCTTGGGTAAGCAGTGCATCCAGCCCATCGAGCACAGCTTGGAAGGCCTCCAGACAAGGCATCTTTATCAGAGGCCTCAGAGGGAGGCGGCGGAAGGGCCAGGCCTGCACCATCAGCTTCAGGGCCTCACAGCGTCTCCTGCTGAAGGCCTCCATGAACAGTGGGGGGAAAAGTTCTGTGGGCAGCTCCTCCAGGGTGGACATGGCCAAGGCTTGGTCCCTCAGCAGGCTCCGCCCTGCAAGCTCCAGGAGTCTGGGTGGAGTCCGGATGCTCATCTTCACGAATCTGCAGGGAAAACTTCCAGAGGACAAACCCAGAGAAAAGGCATCACTCTCAGGCCAAGCCCATGCAATCTTATCTTCTCCCAAGGCCAAAGTCACTGCTCTGGCAATGGTGAAACAGCCCTCAGTTTACTCCAATTCTGCCCTGTACTCAGTGGCCATTAAGCCAGCATTCTGCCTCTGCTGCATCAGCATGAGCGTCTCCGAAGCAGTGAGGAAGCAGGGCCACCACGAGCCCTTCCTTTCTATCCAGTGCTCCATCCAGTGACTAGTGAGTGTGGAGGAACCTGAAAGTGAACCCCTCCTACCATTGGGGGAAATTACTAATTACTCAAGGTTCTAAAACAATGGGAATGGGAATGTCACAAGCCTACATGCCCACATTTTCAGTTCCTACAAATAAGCTTGTTGGGAACATTCATGGGGCATCCCTAGAACAGGTTCTATTTGTTTTCTTTTCATTATTTAAGCTTGCTTTCTCTTTCTCTCTCTTTCTTCTTTCCTTCTTTCCCTCTCTCCCTCCCTTCTTTCTTTGTTTCCTCCTCTCTCTCCCTCTTTCTTTCTTTCCCCCTCTCTCTGCCTTCTTTCTTTCTTGTCTTCTTTCCCTGCATCCCTTCTCTCATTCTCTCTCTCTTTCTCTCTCTCCCTCTCTCACTCTTTCTGACAGGGTCTTGCTCTGTCACCCAGCCTGGAGTGTAGTGGTGGGATCTCAGCTCAGTGCAGCCTTGACCTCCCAGCTCAAAGGATTCTTCCTCCTCAGCCTCCCAAGTAGCTGGGACCACAGTTATGCATCACCACACCCAGCTCATCTTTTATTTTTTGACTTTTTGTAAAGACAGTGGATTTCGCTATGTTGTCCAAGCTGGTCTTGAACTCCTAGTCTCAAGCAATCTACCCCTGTTGGCCTCCCAACATACTGGGATTATAGGTGTGAGCCTCCACCCCTGCCTCATTATTGAAAATTTCAGTGAGAAGCTCTGAAAGCTATGTGACACTGTTATGCATTACTCACAAGATAGATGTTTCCAATGCACACCTCTTACACATATTCAAAGTGAACCACTTTGGCTGGGTGCAGTGACTCACACCTGTAATCTGAGCATTTTGTGAGGCCGAGGCAGGTGGATCATCTGAGATCAGGAGTTCAAGACGAGCCTGGCCAACATGGTAAAACCCTGCCTCTACTAAGACAGCAAAAATTAGCCAGGTGCAGTGGTCTGCGCCTGTAGTCCAAGCTACTAGGGAGGCTGAGGTAGGAGGATCGCTTGAATCCAGGAGGCAGAAGTTGCAGTGAGCTGACATTATACCACTCCACTCCAGCCTGGGAAATAGGCTAGATTGAACAGAGAGACAGAGAGAGCTACATTTGATTAGAATTCTTAATCTCTACCCAGTTAATCCTGATTGGATTTTTGCCTTTCTTAAATATTAACTGATCAAATTAGATATTCATTCATCAAAATGAAAGATTTAGGGATAGGGTGAAAGTCCAGGACTCATTCACTGATTCCCTTCACAAACATGGGGTTTTACTAATATGTGTCCTTCAAAGTCCTGAGTGTGAGACAGGGAAGGGTTGAACCTCTTCCTGATATTAGACAGAAAGAAAGAAAACTTGAAAGTATCTTTGTTGAGGGATCCTTGGCCATGCCAAGTTTATCAAAATATTTCAGGGTTAAAACAGTTTTCAGAGACAGAGATGACAGTCCCTAAGAAAACACAATAGAAATCTTCATATATCCAATGATCACCTAGGTGGCATAAGTCTTTTTGGTGTTGAGGGAGCTGAATCTCACTTCATCGGCCAGGCTAGAGTGCAGTGGTGTCATTTCGGCTCACTGTTGCCTCGGCCTCCAAGATTCAAGCAATTCTCATGCTTCAGCCTTCCACATAGCTGGGACTACAGGCATGCACCCCCTGCAGCCATGTCTCCATTTGGGTGGAAGAGGATGTGATTGGTTTAAAATTAAGGTCAAAGATCCTTTTTGATTGATTTTGTTTTTGTTTTTTGGACAGGGTGTCTCTCTTTTGCCCAGGCTGGAGTACAGGAGTGGTATGAGCATGGCTCACTGCAGCCTCAATCTTCTGGTCTCAAGTGATTCTCCCACACCAGACACCCAAATAGCTGGGACTACAGATGCATGTCACCATGCTCGGCTAATTTAAAAAAAAAAAAGTAGAGGCCAAGCACCAGTGACTCACAGCTGTAATCCCAGCACTTTGGAAGGCCAAGGCAGGTGGATCACTTGAGGTCAGGTGTTCGAGACCAACCTGGCCAGCATGGTGAAACCCCACCTCTACTAAAAATACAAAAATTAGCCAGGCATGGTTTCAGATGTCTGTGACACCAGCTTCTGAGGATGGAGACTGAGGCATGAGAATTGCTTGAACCCGGGAGGTAAAGGTTGCAGTGATTTGAGATCGTGCCACTGCACTCCAGTCTGGGCAACACAGTGAGACTCCATCCCCACCCTCAAAAAAAAAAAACGTTGTGTAGAGGAGGGCTTTTGTCATGTTGCCCAGGTTGGTCTCAAACCCCTGGGCTGAAATGATCCTCCCACTTTGGCCTCCCAAAGTGTTGGGGTTAAAGGCATGAGTTATTGCTCCCTTCAAGAATTTTAAAATGGCATCAACCAAAGCACAATCAACTTTTTTGAAATAAAGACAGAACTGCATTTAGAGGAAAACATTCAAAGCTTCAAATTGTTCATATGAAAAAAAAAAAGGACAGGATATAGCTCTGTGCCATCGTAGGCTGTACTGTCACCACCCCAGACCGACTGACTGTAGGTCAGATGGGAGTGTCCTTACAGAAATTAGTGACTTACCAGATCTGGATGTAGTCTAGAAGGTGCTCAGTCCTCAGGAAGAACCAAGCAGGAACTCTAGGCTTGAAGACTTTGGGTCTCTCCTGTGGGTCTTTAGAAGCTTTTATTGACCTTTCTAATCACAACTCCCACCCACGCCCCTGCACATATCCGCTGCTACCTTCCAATCAAAAAATGATATCTGATTGCATTTGTGAAGCTCCACCCAGTTAATCCTGATTGGGTTTTTGGCTCTCCCCAGATTACCGGATTGAATCAGATGTCCATTCATATCACATATCTATATTCACTTCATGAAGCAAGAAATCGACAGTGTTAGGGATAGGGTAGAAGTCAAGAATACATTCATTCAAGGCCAGACGAAGTGGCTCACACCTGTAATCCCAGCACTCTGGGACGCAGAGGTAGGTGGATTATCTGAGGTCAGGAGTTTGAGACAAGCCTGGCCAACATGGTAAAACCCTACCTCTACTAAAATTACAAAAATTAGCCAGTTGCGGTGGTCTGCGCCTATAGTCCAAGCTACTAGGGAGGCTGAGACAGGAAGATCGCTTGAACCCAGGAGGCAGAGGTTGCAGTGAGCTGACAATACACCACTGAACTCCAGCCTGGGAAATAGGCTAGATTCAAAAAAAAAAAAAAAAAAAAAAAAAAAAAAGAAAAAGAAAAAGGAGAGAGAGAGAGCTAGATTTGATTCGAATTTACCCAGTTAATCCTGATTGGATTTTTGGCTTTCTTCCAGATTTACTGATGGAATTAGATATTCACCCATCAAAGTGAAAGATTTAGGGATGGGGTGGAAGCCCAGGACTCATTCACTGATTCCCTTCACAAACAAAATGGGGTTTTATTAATATGTGTCCTTCACAGTCCTGAGTGTGAGATAGGGAAGGGTTGAATCTCTTCCTGATATTAGACAGAAAGAAAAAACTTGAAAGTATCTTTGTTGAGGGATCCTCGGCCACATCAAATTTATCAAAATATTTCAGAGTTAAAACAGTTTTCAAAGACAGAGTTGACAGTCCCCAAGAACACACAATAGAAATCTTCATGTATCCAATGATCACCTGGGTGGTATAATCTAATTTTTTTTGGTGTGGGGGAAGCTGAGTCTCACTTTGTCGCCCAGGCTGGAGTGCAGCGGCGCCATCTCAGCTCACTGTAACCTCCACCTCTGAGATTCAAGCAATTCTCATGCTTCAGCCTTCCACGTAGCTGGGATTACAGGCATGCACCCCCACACCCATGTCTCCATTCGAGTGGAAGAATTACAGTGAGGACGTGATTGGTTTAAAATTAAGGTCATAGATCCTTTTTGGTTAAGATATTGTTTTTGTTTTTTGGACAGGGTCTCTCTCTTTTGCCCAGGCTGGAGTACAGCAGTGGTGTGAGCATGGCTCACTGCAGCCTCAATCTTCTGGGCTCAAGTGATTCTCCCACACCAGCCACCCAAATAGCTGGGACTACAGATGCATGTCACCATGCTCGGCTAATTAAAATAAAAAAAAGTAGAGGCCAAGCACCAGTGACTCACAGCTGTAATCCCAGCACTTTGGGAGGCCAAGGCAGGTGGATCACTTGAGGTCAGGTGTTCGAGACCAACCTGGCCAGCATGGTGAAACCCCACCTCTACTAAAAATACAAAAATTAGCCAGGCATGGTTTCAGATGTCTGTGACACCAGCTTCTGAGGATGGAGACTGAGGCATGAGAATTGCTTGAACCCGGGAGGTAAAGGTTGCAGTGATTTGAGATCGTGCCACTGCACTCCAGTCTGGGCAACACAGTGAGACTCCATCCCCACCCTCAAAAAAAAAAAAACGTTGTGTAGAGGAGGGCTTTTGTCATGTTGCCCAGGTTGGTCTCAAACCCCTGGGCTGAAATGATCCTCCCACTTTGGCCTCCCAAAGTGTTGGGGTTAAAGACATGAGTCATTGCTCCCTTCACGAATTTTAAAATGGCATCAACCAAAGCACAATCAACTTTTTTGAAATAAAGACAGAACTGCATTTAGAGGAAAACATTCAAGCTTCAAATTGTTCATATGAAAAAAAAAAGGACAGGATATAGCTCTGTGCCATCGTAGGCTGCACTGTCACCATCCCAGACCGACTGACTGTAGGTCAGATGGGAGTGTCCTTACAGAAATTAGTGGCTTACCAGATCTGGATGTAGTCTAGAAGGTGCTCAGTCCTCAGGAAGAACCAAGCAGGAACTCCAGGCTTGAAGACTTTGGGTCTCTCCTGTGCGTCTTTAGAAGCTTTTATTGACCTTTCTAATCACAACTCCCACCCACGCCCCTGCACATATCCGCTGCTACCTTCCAATCAAAAAATGATATCTGATTGCATTTGTGAAGCTCCACCCAGTTAATCCTGATTGGGTTTTTGGCTCTCCCCAGATTACCGGATTGAATCAGATGTCCATTCATATCACATATCTATATTCACTTCATGAAGCAAGAAATCGACAGTGGTAGGGATAGGGTAGAAGTCAAGAATACATTCATTCAAGGGTGGGTGAGGTGGTTCATAGCTGTAATTCCAGCACTTTGGAAGGACAAGGTGAGTAGATCACCTGATGTCAGGGGTTCAAGACGAGCCAGGTCAAAAAGGTGAAACCCTGTCTCTACAAAAATACAAAAATACAAAAATTACCTGGGCATGATGGCAGGTGCCTGAAACCCAGCTACTTGGGAGGCTGAGGCAGGAGAATTGCTTGAACCCAGGAGGCAATGGTTGCAGTGAGCCAGAATTGTGCCACTGCACTCCAGTCTGGGTGACAGAGGGACATTCTGTCAAAAAATAAAAAAATCATTCATTCATGAACTCCACAAACACTGATGGTATTTTACTAATATGTGAACTTCATAGTCTTGAGTGACAGGCAGGGAAGGATTTGATCTGTTCCCAACATTAGACAGAAAAATAAAATCTGAAAGTAGTGTTGTTAGGAGATCTTTGGCCACATCAAAATATAAAAATGCTTTCTACTTTAAAAAGCTTTATAAAAACAGAGGAGTCGTCCCTAGGAAATCAGAATAAAAATCTCAATGTATTGAATGGTCTTCGGGATTTTGTATAACCTAAGGTAGCAGATTACATGCTCATTCTGGTGGAGGAGAGGTGCCACTGAGGGCGTGAGTGGTCTCAGGGCTTAGGTTAAGTCTTCTTTGGAAGAAATTGAAGCCACATCGATAAACTTTATAAATTTAATCAGTGAAGAAGGGAGGGAGAGAAACAAAAATAAACCAAGCTTGGAACACATTCAGCATTCATCAGGAGGTCTTCTTGCTCTCTGACCTGGTTCCTCATGGTTGCTGGCAACCTACTGTTCCAAAATCATATAGACCTTAGATTACAGTTCCCCTTAACTTCCCTGCAGACAACCATTTAAGCATTGTAAAACATTAACTTTTTCATCTGAGATATTCTTTCAGGTTCTGCATGTCAGTGAATCTACTGATGCCAGCTGATCTGAAGGGCCCTGCAATGCACCAACTCACCAAAGAATGCAGTTTCTACATCCTGTTGACTTCTTCCCTCTTACCGCTACCCCAACTTTCCGGCCCCTTGCTATCCAGGATCCACTGGAAACCCTCAGTACTCCTTGGGGAGATGAATTTGAGGATCTCCTCCTAGCTTCTCATTCAGCCACCTTGTGATCATTAAACTCTCTGCTGCAAACCCTGCTGTCTCAGAATATTGCTAAGCTACTGTGCAGCAGGCATAGGAACCTGATGGTCCTGTAATAAAGTCATGTCAAAATTACAAATGGAAGTGAGGGTGGAGCTGGTCAGGGTTGAGCTGGGTTTTTAATGGGAACCTGGGAGTGAACCAAGACTTGCTGAACATGTTGGGGGTTATCGAGTGGGTGTAAGAGGAATCTATCTAACATTGCACTGATGCGCTTTTGGTTTTAATCCTCATGACCAAGTATGAGTCTTTCAAAACAATTTGTATAATCCTCCTTATTTTTCCTTTCAAAACCTTCAACTTCCTTTATCTCCCCAAATAATCTCACATCTATTCCCATTTCTTTGCTTACTACATAATAAACATTTTTTTTACAGAGTCTTCTTCTCTGTTAAGTAGACCACATATGTTGTTGCCACACAAGATGAGCAACCTGGTTCTATGGACAGAAAGGGTCAAAAGGATCCCATTCCTCAACAGCTGGGGGTGATGTAAAGGTCATGGTTATTCTTTGTCATATCTGCACCTGCATATTGCCAGTGAAAACTTGCAGGTTACATTGGGCAGGCTTCCAAATTCACCACCTGTGGAAGGTCTTTTGCTTGGCTTACATCCTGTCCCTGAGTAAAGAATCTCATGGTGAGTTCATGAGTGCCTCAAACTCTGCAAGTATTGATGAAGGCTTCCACCCACTGACAGTGAGAAGGCACTGATTTGATGGTGATCATGAAGTTTTGCTGGTTGTCTTGCAAGGAATATGTTTTATTCTTTTATCTTGTCATCTAAAGCCAATGATTGTAACCTCTGTATTGTCTCTTCCAATGGAAAAAACGAAAACAAAAACTCAACTCTATTTGAGCCTTGTCAGGTCAATAAAACAAAAGAAAATTTAAAAAAATAATTGATAGGAGGAGTCCCATTCCCAGCCTGGGCAATAGAGTGAGACTCCATCTCAAAAGAAAAAAAAAAAAAGGCCGGGCACGGTGGTGGCTCACACCTGTTATCCCAGCACTTCAGGAGGCCAAGGCAGGTAGATCCCGATGCCAAAAAATTGAGACCATCCTAGCCAACATGGTGAAACCCTGTCTCTGCTAAAAATACAAAAATTAGCTGAGCATGGTGGCGCCCACCCATAATCCTAGCTACTCGAGAGACTGAGGCAGGAGAGTCGCTTGATCTCAGGAGGAGGAGGTTGCAGTCAGCCAAGATTTCACCACTGCACTCCAACTTGGTGACAGAGCGAGACTCCATCTCAAAACAAACAAACAAGGAAACAAACACAAATGAACAAACAAAGGAAAAAGCTGGAAAAATAAGTTCTGAAAGAATTTCCATCTCTATGAATTCATCTTCAGAAGTGATAGCATTTCCTGCTTGGCATTTTTCGCCTACATTTTTGGCATAAGATCTATCAACAAAAAAGTATGAACCCAGGTTTGTGTAATGGAATATCTTAAACATCAATAGGAGGAGTCAATAGTTCTGATGCCACACACACATATATGGTCTTCTCCATCATCAGAAAATGGCAACAAAGTGGTAGAGTTATGCAGAGTGTAGCATTTGAAATGGAGATTTGAAGGTGACAAGGAAAGGATTTTGTAAGACATTAGTGTACAAGTTGAGCAATGTTGGTTCCTGTCACAGTATTTTTATTTATTTTTTTATTTATTTTATTCATTTATTTTTTGAGATGGAGTCTCACTGTGTCACCAGGCTGGAATGCAGTGGCACGATCTCAGCTCATTTCAACCTCTGCCTCCCCGGTTCAAGCAATTTTCCTGCCTTAGCCTCCTAAATAGCCGGGACTACAGGTACATGCCACTACACCTGGCTAATTTTTTGTATTTTTAGTAAAGACGGGGTTTCACCATATTAACTAGGATGGTCTCAATCTCCTGACTTCGTGGTCTGCCTGCCTCGGCCTCCCAAAGTGCTGGATTACAGGCCTCAGCCACCATGCCTGGTCGGTTCACATCAAAATTTAAGAGGTATTCAATTGCATATGAAACTTGTAGGCAAAATTTATTTCTTTTTTCTTTAAAGCATTAATTTATTTATTTATAATGTATTTATTTATTAATTTTTTTTTGAGATGGAGTTTTATTCTTGTTTTCCAGGCTAGAGTTCAATGGTGCGATCTCAGCTCACTGCAACCTCTGCCTCCCGGTTCAAGTGATTCTCCTGCCTCAGTCTCCCAGTTAGCTGGAATTACAGGCACAGGCCACCACACACAGCTAGTTTTTGTATTTTTAGTAGAGACAGAGTTTCACCATGTTGCCCAGGCTGGTCTGGAACTCCTGACCACAGGTGATGCACCCACCTCGGCCTCTGAAAGTGCTGAGATTACAGGTGTGAACCACCGTGCCCGGCCTACACTCATCACTTTTAATACTTTCTACATCACATGAGGAAGAAGAGCAGAAACACTTGAGTACTTCATGAAGGTCAAGGTTGGTATGAGTTTGGGTTCTAATATGATCAATTTCTGCTTCTAGGGAACCAAGCAGCTCAGGTTAAGGAAGGTCAGGAAACTCTAGGGTTTTCTCTCCCTTCAAAGAAAGCTTTACGTATCACCTTAATGGAGAAAGCAAATCTCATCCCCATGTTGTCACCTAATAAAAAGCCATACTTTCCTAAAAATGGTCCAAATGTCATTTGGACTGCTTTGAACACAGGAATTTTCTGAGCTTCATGTGAAGCTTTCAGTGAATTTCATGTGAATTCACTCCTGGTCCAATGAAGCCATTTCCTGGCATGGCCAAAGATCAGGAACGGATTCCTCTGGATCTGTCCATTAGGAGTGAGCAGGGTCTCAGTATCTGGGGAGCAGTGAGGGCCCCTGAGAAGAGGGTAGGTTTCAGTGGCTCATCATCACTGCCCACACAGAATGTTCCAGGCCCCAAGTGTGCATCCTTTGTGAATGAACCCAGTGAACAGGCATGGGAGAAATTAAGGAAGAAACAGATGACTGAAAGGAAGCAAAAAATGAGTGAGAACTAATCAAAATGATCACATTTCAGTTTTGATGCCTTGATTTGCTGCAGCTGAACCTCAATCACAGATGACGTAGTACCTCTCATCAGTAACTAGAGATTTCTGATATATAAATGGCTAAAACAGGTTGATCAATCATGGAAGACACCAGAAAGTTTCCATTCAGGTTCCATTTATTTTTGACATTTTTAAATAACCATCCTTGCGAGGGTAACTCCTGCATCATTCTAGAACTTCAGGTTCCATTTCCGAGTCTAGGAAACAGGTCCCTGAAGGCTTTATTGATGCCAAGTCAGCATTTTCACCAAGTCCTGCCCCCAGCTGAGTCACCTTTGTTTTTCCACTCACAGTCAGCACGTGCCTGAAACACATGACCGTGTGCTTCCTTTAAGATGCACCTGACCGGGCCAGGCTGCTCATGCCTGTAAACCCGGCACTGTGGAAGTCCAAGGTAGTCAGATCACTTGAGGTCAGGAGTTTGAGGCCAGCCTCCTCCAACATCGTGAAACCCTGTCTCTACTAAAAATACAAAAATTACACTTTGGGAGGCCGAGGCGGGTGGATCACGAGGTCAGGAGATCGAGACCATCTTGGCTAACTTGGTGAAACCCTGACTCTACTAAAAATACCAAAAATTAGCTGGGTGTGGTGGTGGGCACCTGTAGTCCCAGCTACTCTGGAGGCTGAGGCAGGAGAATGGCGTGAACCCTGGAGGCGGAGGTTGCAGTGAGCCGAAATCGTGCCAGTGCACTCCAGCCTGGGTGACAGAGCGAGACTCTGTCTCAAAAAAAAAAGAAAAAAAATACAAAATTAGCTGGATGTGGTGGTGCATGCCAGTAACACCAGCTACTAGGGAGGCTGAGGCAGGAGAATCACTTGAACCTGGGAGGTGGAAGTTGCAGTGAGCTGAGATTGTGCCAGTGCACTTCAGCCTGAGGGACAGAGTGAGACTCCATCAAAAAAAAAAAGCACCTGTGTCCTAGATTTTAGTGCCCAAGGGTCCAGAAGAAAACGTGTCCATCCCACTAGCCAGGCCTTCCCTAAGAGCAAAGATGGAGGTCCACTTTCTCAGATGGCCATGAGCCACAGGAAGGGCAGGGGACGGGACCAAAAAAGATCCTCTTGGGCTGCCTGACTTCCCTGAGTGTACACATCAGCTCAGCCCGAATTGGGGCAAGGATCTCCCAATTGGCATGACCCCTGTTGTCAAGACTCTCCAGACGGGAAGGATACAACTCCAGGCCTAACTTGCTCAGCCCACCTGTGTGACACAGAAGGTCTTTCAGAGCATTCATGGAAGTCTCGTTTCCTTGAAAGTAGAAGGTGGTGAGCTGGGAGCAGTGGCTCAGGGCAGGCAGGAGGACCCTGAGTTGGGAGTCCTGGATCTGACAGTCCTTTAACGTGAGGGTCTCAAGAGTAGCAGCAACTTTCTCTAGCAGAGCTCCAAGGGGCTCAAGATTGGTGGTCCACATTAGGATATGAATCAGATGCAGCTCCTTTAGCTGACTGAGGCTTGGGTACTGAGACAGACACTCCATGTCCCGATCAGCTAGGTAAGCATGACAGAATATAAAGGCCCCCAAGAGGTTCTTGAGGCACCTGGGGAGAGCAAGAAATTAGTTATGGGCAATGGTGCCAGTTAGAGGAGAGGGGTGGGAAATCATCTCAATGGTAAACTTGAAGTGGGCATTGAGTAATTCTGCACCTTACTACCACACAGGTGTTATAGTAACTGCAATGGGGAAGCCTGTTTCACCCAAACACAAGTTTGTTCCCATCATCAGATGATGGTCTGTGTGCAAGGTGCTGCCTGATGAAGACTCAGATCATTCAGGGGCAGCTCCATTTTAGGCTCAGTCCTTTCAGCCTTGCTTGTGTGATTGGTTCAAGGCCACAAAATCTTTAAAGCCTCTTTACTGCATCTTTCAGCAGACAACCTCATCTCTGGGCCAGAGGAGCCCAGTGGGAGATGTGCACAAAGAACTCAACTGAGCAAGGTCTAGGGACATCAGCTAGGGCCACCTGCCTGCAAAGGTTCCCTGACGTGCCCGCGTCTGCAAACCACCTATCACTTTATACCACTCTCCTGCCTACTCCCTCACCTCTGTCCAAGAAGCATGCTTTTCTCATGTCAACTACTTTTCCTGGGGTTCAAAAGAACCTTTTACAGACAGAGAATTAGAGGCAGGATCATTGGTGTTTACTAAGCTGTGAGGACGGAGCTTCTACTGTGAAACGCACAGGTTTGATGCACTTTCCCTTCTTTCATACTCTCCTCTATATGAAGAGTAAGTTTCATCATATTAACTTCAAACGCACTTCCTAAAAAGGAATTCACAAATGCACCCTCCCTAGATCTGAACCCCTGACTAACTAGATCCCTGCATGTCTCTCTCTGTAGCATCTGGCCCGGGCCATCCCTCTGCCCTTATTTGAGCGGGTTTGTGATACCCACTTCAGGATATAGAGCACTGAACAGCATAATGAGTTGACATTCTAGCGTCCCATTCCCTGTGACATCACCAGTGGCTGGCACACAGTAGATGCCCACTAGCGTTTACTGTGAAAAAGAACAAAAGTCTGTGGTATGGTCCGCAGAGAAAGCTCACCATCCTTTCTTACCTGAGCAGGTGCTCCAGGTCTTTGATATTATTGACCTTTCTTATATAAAGCATCTGAGGGTAGGACAGGCAGAGGAATGGACAGTCCAAGTCAGGAACGAACTATTGTTGGCCGCTTACATATAACTCACTGTCATAACCGAAGGCTAAAAAGAGTTTGCGAAGATTGCTCATCTGGCTCAGGTAAGGGGCAAACTTTCCTGTTTTATTCAGAGAGCACTTTCTCCTAACTTCCAACTGCTAGATACTGTCTGGGTATACCCTTTTCAATAAATTTCTGAAACTTGAAGTGGGCATTGAGTAATTCTGCACCTTATTACAGCACAGGTGCACTAGACCTCTTCTGTAGTGGATCTACCCACAAAGGTAGCTCAGGCATTCATCCAGTGTACTTTTCTTTAGGCAGCGGTCTATGAACACCTTCAAGGGCTGGCACTCTCCCATCCTTGGACAGTCCTCCACTGTCTGCCTTTTACTCATGGCCTCTGGGGAGCAGGAGAGGACCTTGGCTCCAGACCATATGGTCCAGAAATTCCCATCAACATCCCGCAAATCCAGCACTTGAAGTTTCCACCTCCTGTGAGTAACACAGGGGAAAAGCTCAGAATGTAGGCAAGGACCCACCCCTGACCTGAGCTTTCACTCCACATCCAGGACATCAGTCAGCTGCTCCTGTCCTCAGTGCTCCTCCTTCTGTCTCTTCTCCATCCCGCTCCCCCTTGGGTTCTGCCTGGTTCTCACTTCTAGAATCTTTACGTTCCACTGGGAGAAAGCAGGTTCCTGTTTCCTCAGTGGACCCTGTATGGTGAGCAGTCCTTTCCCAGAGGATCTGGGCAATGGTCAAGGCCTCTCATGGGCACCATCAGAAGCCTCTGAGCCACCCTAGCTCCCCAACCCCACCACTCCTCCTGAGCCAGCTGTCCCTTCCCTGGATGCCTGGACCCTTCCCACCAGGCCACCTGAGTCACCTCACCTGAGGCAAACCTTCTGGGCCAGCAGTGTATCAAGTCCCTTCAGCACAGCTTGCAAGGTCTCCAGATGAGGTGTCTTCATCAGGGATCCCAGAGGGAGGTGGAGGAAGGACCAGGCCTGCACCATCAGCTTCAGGGCCTCACAGCGTCTCCTGCTGACGGCCTCCATGAACATCAGAGGGAAGACCTCCCTGGGCAGCTCGTCCAGGATGAAGATGGTCAAGAACTGGTTCCTCAGTAGGCTCTGCCCTGCCAGCTCCAGGAGTCTGGATGGGGACTGGAGGCTCATTCTGACAAATCTGCAAGGAAAAACTCTAGAGGACAATCCAGTGAAAAGGCAAGTTTCTCAGGCCAATCCCCTGCAATCCCCGCTTCTCCTAGGGCCAAAGTCATTTCTCTAGCATGTGTGAAAGAGCCCTCAGTTTACTCCAATTCCATTCTGCAATAAGTGGCCACAGAGGCATAGTTCTGCCCTTCTGGTACTAAGAAGAGTGTGTCCCAACCTCTAAAGAGCAGGCAAGATCCCTCCTATAGGGTCCATGAATTATTAGCCACTGCACTACTACACTGATAGCACTGGGAAGTGTTAGCAAGGATCTTTGAAGCTCAGATCTCCACTTTTTTGAGAAAACAAAATGTCTTCTTGGCCAGGCACGGTGGCTCATGCCTGTAATCCCAGCACTTTAGGAGCCCAAGGTGGGCGGATCATGAGGTCAGGAGATCGAGACCAGCCCGGCCAACATGGTGAAATACCATCTGTACCGATACAAAATATTAGCTGGGTGTGGTGGTCCCTGCCTGTAATCCCAGCTACTTGGGAAGCTGAGGCAGGAGAATCTCTCAACCCGAGGTCCAGAGTTTGCAGTGAGCCAAAATCTAGCCACTGCATTCCAGCCTGGGTGGCAGAGTGAGACTCTGTCTCAAAAAAAAAAAAAAAAAAAAAAAAAGTAAAGGGAAGCCAAGCATGGCGGCTTACAGCTGTAATCCCAACACTTTGGGAAGCCAAGGCAGAACAATCACTTGAGCCCAGGAGTTCCAGACCAGCCAGGGCAACATAGTGATAGCCCATGTCTACTAGACTCTACTAGAATATTAAGTAATTATCTGAGCATTGTGGCACATGCCTATAGTCTCAGCTACTCTGCACATGGAGGTGGGAGGATGGCTTGAGCCTGGGAAGCAGAGGTTTCAGTTATCTGAGATTTTGCCACCACACTCCAGCCTGGGCAACAGAGAAAGACCCTGTCTCAAGTAATAATAATAATAATAATAATAATAATAATAATAATAATAATAACAACACACTTTGGGATTGAGTCTAGGGGAAGAAATGGATCCTACATTCAAAACAAAGACTCTACTCTTGAAAATAGTGTATGGGGCCAGACATGGTGGCTCATGCCTGTAATCCCAAGACTTTAGGAGACAAGGTGGGGGGTTTGCTTGAGTCCAGGTGTTCCAGACCAGCCTGGCTAACAAAGCGAGACCCCATCATTATAAAAAAATTTAATAGAACATAGTGGAAGGAATATCTTTATAATTTTAGTAAAAAACAAAGCCTATCTTTCAAAATCACAATAGCATTCTTGGGTGGGGTGACTCTTGCCTGTAATCCCAGCACTTTGGGAGGCTAAGGGCTGGCAGATTACATGGAGTCCAGGGGTTCCAGACCAGCCTGGGCAATATGGTACAACCCCATCTCTACTAAAAATACAATTAGCCAGGCCTCATGGTGTGGGTCTGTAATCCCAGCTACTGGGAAGGCTGAGGTGAGAAGATCCCTTGAATACAGGAGACAGAGGTTGCACTGAGGCAATTATCACACCACTGCAGTACAGCTGGGTGACAGAGTGAGACTTTGTCTCAAGAAATTAAAATCATAATAACATAGTCTATAAACTGCAAATTAAGAGCACACAATCTACAAATTTTAAATGTCAAGGAATCAGACATTAATTAATTGGATTCTTTTTTTTTTTTAATTGAGACGGAGTCTATTGCCCAGGCTGGAGTGCAATGGCATGATCTCGGCTCACTGCAACCTCCACCTCGCGGGCTGAAGCAATTCACCTGCCTCAGCCTCCTCAGTAGCTTGGATTACAGACATGTGCCACCATGCCCAGTTAATTTTTGTATTTTCAGTAGAGAAGGCGTTTCACTGTGTTGGTCAGCCTGGTCTCAAATTCCTGACCTCAGGTGATGCACCCACCTTGGTCTCCCAAAGTGCTGGGATTACAGGCATGAGCTGCTGTCCCTGGCCCAGTTGGATTCTTTTTTAGTTCTTTGGTTAAGAATTTTGGAATGACATAAAACAAAGCACAAATACATTTTTTTTTCCTTTTTAAGGCAGAGTCTTGCTGGGTCACCCAGGTGTGCACCACCATGCCCGGCTAATGTTTGCATTTTAAGTAGAGATGGAGTTGGCCTCATGTGATCTGGCTGCCTTGGCCTTTCAAGGTTGCTGGAATTACAGGTGTGAGCCATCACGGGAGTCTCAGCTACTTGGAAGGCTGAGGAGGGAGGATCCGTTGAGCGTGGGGGGCAGAGGTTGCAGTGAGGTGAGGAGTTTGAGAGCAGTGTGGCCAACATGGCAAAATCTCATCTCTACTAAAAATACAAAAATTAGCTGCGCATGGTGGCAGGTGCCTTGTAATCCCAGCTACTTGGGAGGCTGAGGCGGGAGAATTGCTTGAAGCCGGGAGGCGGAGGTTGCAGTGAGCTGAGATCGCGACACTGCACTCCAACGTGGGCGACAGAGTGAGACTCCTTCTTGGAGAAAAAAAAAAAAAGAACTTTGAAATGTGGCAGGGCCCAGTAGCTCATGCCTATTATCCCAGCACTTTGGGAGGCCAAGGCAGGTTAATCACTTGAGAGGTCAGGAGTTCAAGACCAGCCTGGCCAACATGGTGAAAACTTACCTCTACTAAAAATACAAAATCAGGGCTGGGCACGGTGGCTCACACCTGTAATCCCAGCACTTTGGGAGGCCGAGGCGGGCGGATCACGAAGTCAGGAGTTTGAGACAAGCCTGGCCAACATGGTGAAATCCCATCTCTACTAAAAATACAAAAATTAGCCAGGTGTGATGGTGGTTGCCTATAATCCTAGTACTCGGGAGGCTGAGGTAGGAGAATCACTTGAACCTGGGAGGTGGAGGTTGCAGTGAGCCGAGATTGTGCCTGTCAGGTCTCTGAGCCCAAGCCAACCCATCGCATCCCCTGTGACTTGCACGTATACATCCAGATGGCCTGAAGTAACTGAAGATCCACAAAAGAAGTAAAAACAGCCTTAACTGATGACATTCCACCATTGTGATTTGTTCCTGCCCCACCCTAACTGATCAATGTACTTTGTAATCTCCCCCACCCTTAAGAAGGTACTTTGTAGTCTCCCCCACCCTTAAGAAGGTTCTTTGTAATTCTCCCCACCCTTGAGAATGTACTTTGTGAGATCCACCCCTGCCCACCAGAGAACAACCCCCTTTGACTGTAATTTTCCATTACCTTCCCAAATCCTATAAAATGGCCCCAACCCTATCTCCCTTCACTGACTCTCTTGTCGGACTCAGCCCGCCTGCACCCAGGTGAAATAAACAGCCGTATTGCTCACGCAAAGCCTGTTTGGTGGTCTCTTAACAAGGACGCGCATGAAAGTGCCATTGCCCTGCAGCCAGCGCAAGAGTGACGCTCCGTCTCAAAAAAAAAAAAAAAAAAAAAAAAAAAGAAGCTTATCAAGCCCTGAAGCAATATGGGAAAAAAAAAATACAAAATTTAGTCAGGCATAGTGGTGGGCGCCTGTCATTCCAGATAGTAGGGAGGCTGAGGCAGGAGAATCACTTGATCCGGGAGGCGGAGGTTGCAGTGAACCAGGATCGCACCACTGCACTCCAGCCTGGGTGACAGAGCAAGTTTGTCTCAAAAAAATAAAATAAAAGAGAACTTTGAGATGGCATAAACTAAAACAGAAATAAAATATTTGGAGAGTGGCTGGGCGTGGTGGTTCATGCCTGTAATCTCAGCACTTTGGGAGGCTGAGGCAGGTGAACCACGAGGTCAGGAGTTCAAGACCAGCCTGGCCAACATGGTGAAACCCTGTCTCTCTAAAAATACAAAAAAAATTAGCCAGGCGTGGTGGTGGGCGCCTGTAGTCCCAGCTACTCGGGAGGCTGAGGCAGGAGAATTGCTTGAACTCAGGAGGTGGAAGTTGCAATGAGCCGAGATCGTGCCACTGCATTCCAGCCCAGGCAACGGAGTGAGGCTCTGTCTCATAACAAACAAACAAACAAAAATATATATGTAGATATATATTTGGAGTGTAGATAAAAGTATATTAGAGGAAAAATCAAAGCCTACATCTTTTCATCTGAAAAACAGACAGGAGAATTCTCTGTGTCGTCTTGACCTCCGTGTCGTCATCCTGACTGTCTGACTGTGGGTCATAGGAGTGCCCTTTGTGGAGGTCCCTGACTTATCAGATCTGGACTCACTTTGCAGTGTGCTCGGATCTTGTGGAGAACCAAGAAGTAACTCCAGGCACCACAGCTCTGGGTCTCTTCTGGGGGTGCTCACAAGCTTTCTTGAACCTTTCTCATCACACCTCCCCTTTTCAACCACCAGCTTCCCATCAGAGAGTGATGCCTGATTGGATTTCTGAAGCTCCACCCAGTTAAGCCTGTGAATTCAGGTGTCCATTCAATCCCTTGGATATCCAATCATGAAATTGAAAGTGTTGGGATTAGAATGCAGGTCAAGAATTCATTTTGATAACGTTGATCCAGCCAAAGTTCTCTGAACCATAAAGCTTTCAGGTTTTGTTTTTGTGTCTAATCTCAGGAGCAGATTGAACCCTTCCCTGTCTCAAACTCAAAAATAGGAAGGAAGGTCACATATTAGTACAATTCATTCTCTGTGGAGGGCATTAATGAATGAATTCTTGACTTCCACCCTAATCCTAACAAACACTGATGGAATTTACTAAGGGACTGACTGATAAGGTGGATGGTGTGTGCCTGTAATCCCATTGAGCAATTCATATTGAGGAATTATTTTCTTATTTTGCTGAGAATATTTTTAAAATCCTGAATGAGTCATTGAATTTTTTCAAATGTTTTTCGTACATCAATTAAGATGATCATTTTCTGGTGCTTTTATTCTATTTATTTGTTTAAATACGTTTGTTGAATTTTTTTTTTTTTTTTTTGGGGGGGAGACAGAGTCTCGCTCTGTGGTCCTGGCTGGAGTGCAGTGGCGTGATCTCGGCTCACTGCAACCTCCATCTTCTGAGTTCAAGCAATTCTCCTGCCTCAGCCTCCTGAGTGGCTGGGATTACAAATGTGCACCATCACGCCTGGCTAATTTTTGTATTTTTACTAGAGACAGCGTTTCCCATGTTGCCCAGGCTGGTCTTGAACTTGTAATCTCTGGTGATCTGCCCACCTCGGCCTCCCAAAGTTGTTGGGAGTGCAGGCGTGAGCCACTGCACGTGGCCCAATCATGCATGTTTGGTTGATATTCAAATGTTAAAACCATTTTCATTGTCCCTTTGGTCACTTTTATAAATTGTTGGAAGACACATAGGTGGATGGGATTGGAAGGAGAAGAGTGGAGAGACAGGTGGCCCTAAAGTGGGTGGAAGGTACATATGCCTTCATTTTACTGAGGACTAAGGTCTGAATTTTTTATCTTGCCCAAATTCCTAAGGAGTCTACAGAGTCATGCCCCAAAATCATAAATTCCCATCAGATGAGTTTTTTTAGCCCTGTATATGGTGACTTACTTTCCAATCTGACTCTGGCATAACATCCTGTGACAGAGGAGAAAGTCAAGATATTTTGCCCCAAGGCATGTTTCTTTGCCATATCTTGAAATGGCCCTGCAAAGCTGTCCTTTATGGGGGAAAATCTGCATCTGTAAAGAATCTCTATTAACACAGCTAGATCTTTTTCTTGCAGGCCCTCCCAGTCCTGAAGAGATGGACTGTCTGGTAATTTTAAGGGTCTGAATAGCAAACATCTGTCATCTGTTGTCTCGAAGGGTGGCCACTATGAGATTTCAAAAGAACCTCGGTCTCCACAATCTTTTATTTCACCCTGACCATTTCCTTTCTATGGATCCCAGGTCTTTAGACAAACTCAACCAATTGTCAACCAGAAAATGTTTAAATTTACCTATAGCCTGGAAGCCCCCGACCCTTCAGTTGTCTCTCCTTTCTGAGCCAAACCAATGTAATTCTTTTCTTTTCTTTTCTTTTCTTTTCTTTTCTTTTCTTTTCTTTTCTTTTCTTTTCTTTTCTTCTCTTCTCTTTTCTTTTCTTCTCTCTCTCTCTCTCTCCCCCTCCCTCCCTCTCTCCCTCTCTCTTTCTTTCTTTCACACAGATTCTCACTCTGTCACCCAGGCTGAAATGCGGTGGTTTGCTCTTGGCTTACTGCGATCCCTGTCTCCCAGGTTCAAGTAATTCTCCTGTCTCAGCCTCCCGAGTAGCTGGGAATACAGGCACACACCATCACACCTGGCTAATTTTTGTATTTTTACAAAAATTAGACGGGGTTTCACTATGTTGGCCAGGCTGGTCTCTAACTCCTGACCTCAGATGATCCACCCGCCTCGGCCTCCTAAAGTGCTGGGATTACAGGCGTGAGCCACCACTCACCCAGCCATGTATTTCTTTTTTCTTTCTTTCTTTTTTTTTTTTTTTTTTGAGATGGATTCTGGCTCTGTCACCCAGTCTGGGATGCAGTGGTGTGATCTCAGCTCCCTGCAAACTCCACCTCCCAGATTCAAGCAATTCTTCTGCCTCAGCCTCCTGAGTAGCTGGGATTAAAGGTGTGTAGCACCGTGACAGGCTAATTTTTGTATTTTTAGTAGAGATGGGGTTTCAGCATGTTGGCCAGGCTGGTCTCGAACTCCTGACCTCAAATGATCCACCCACCTCAACCTCTGAAAGTGCTGGGATTACAGGCGTGAGCCACAGAACCAGGGGGACTGGCCATATATTTCTTAGATGTATTTAATTGATGTTTCATGTACCCCTAAACTGTATAAAACCAACCTGCGCCCCAAACAACCCTGGGCACGTGTTCTCCAGACCTCTTTTTTTTTTTTTTTTTTTGAGATGGAGTCTTGCTCTGTCACCCAGGCTGGAGTGCAGTGGCACGATCTCGGCTCAATGCAAGCTCTGCCTCCCGGGTTCACGCCATTCTCCTGCCTCAGCCTCCCGAGTAGCTGGGACTACAGGCGCCCACCACCATGCCCACCTAATTTTTTTTTGTATTTTTAGTAGAGACAGGGTTTCACCATTTTAGCCAGGATGGTCTCGATCTCCTGACCTCGTGATCCGCCTGCCTCGGCCTCCCAAAGTGCTGGGATTACAGGCATGAGCCACTGCGCCCAGCCTCTCCAGACCTCTTGAGGGCTGTGTCATGGGCCATGGTCATTCATATTTGGCTCAGAATAAATCTCTTCACATATATTACAGAGTTTGACTCTTTTTGTCAACATTACTATTATATTTTTCAACTGCATACATATTATATGTGTGTATTTACTATATACAGTGTTCTGTTGGTATGTATCATTTATTTTACTACTTATTTATTTTAAGTTTGGAAGGGAGAGCTTTATTTTTCATAAAAGGTGGCCATGGCCAGGCAAGGTGGCTCACAGCTGGAATTCCAGCACCTGATCCCAGTGAGTGGATACCCTGATGTCAGGAGATCGAGACCAGCCTGGCCAACATGTTGAAACCCTGTCCCTACTAAAAATACAAAAATCAACTGGGCATGGTGGCCCACGCCTGTAATCCCAGCTACTTGGGAGGTTGAGGCAGGAGAATGACTTGAACCTGGGAAGCAGAGGTTGCAGTGAGCCGAGATGGCGCCACTGCACTCCAGCCTGGGCGACAGAAGGAGACTCCGTGTCAAAAAAAAAAAAAAAAAAAAAAAAAAGAGTGGCCAAGTGTCGGATGGCCACTCTGACAGGAGAAGCAGCATCAGGCAGTTGGTTGCTATGAGTGGTAGATTCTTAAAGAGCTGGTTTCTGTTTGACCCTTAAGGAAGAAAGGCTAATGGTGGTTAGCAAGGGAGGGGGTATAGTGAAGCTTGTGGACCCCCCCCGCCCAACATCTCGTTCTCCTTGAGAACTCAGTTTTCAAGGATAACTGGGGTTTCCTCTTGACCAACAGGGGGTCTGTTTCTTCAGTTAGGGGGCTTAGAAATTCACTGTTATTTCTCATTTTCCCCCCTGTTCATCAGGATATGCCAGAAGCAGCATCAATGGCCAAAGTTTTAATTTGTCTCATGTGGATGACAGGGTGGCGGAGCTACCTGCCTTGGTCCACCCAGCCCCTAGGTGGGACTCCTATGGACGTGAGATTCAGAGCCAAAAGACTTACAGCCAATTAAAGCATCCTAGGCCAGATGAGCGTGGCGGTGGGCAGGCATGCATCAACACTTAAAACCTTTTAGGCAACATAAGCCTAAAACCAAAGCCAAAAAGCAAGCTTACAAAAATGGACTTATCTATAAGTTCTATGCATTGAGCTACTGCAACCTTGGTTTTAGTTAGACTTGTAGCAATTAGCTATAAACATAAACATTTCCCTGAAACCACTTAAGGTAAGGAATTTAGAGACTTCTGTGTCCCACAGCATTTTTTTGTGGTTTCTTTTGTAATCTGTCCTAAAGTGGCCAAAAAAGTCTTTATCATATCTCCATTTGCATAAACCCAATAGTGAGAACAACTATACCCAAAAGGCTTTATCACCACCTGTCTTGATATCCTCTTGGTGATTCTCCTTTAATGCTCTAGAAAGCAGGAATTTTTCCATAATTGGAATGGATGGATAATGACCCAGGAGGAAAAGTCCCTCAGTTGCCAAATGTTGAGGCATCTGTGTGCCCATTCTTCTTTTTTTGGATACGGAGTCTTGCTCTGTCACCAGGCTGGAGTGCAGTGGCACGATCTCAGCTCACTGCAACCTCTGCTTCCTGGGTTCAAGGAATCTCCTGCCTCAGCCTCCCAAGTAGCTGGAACTACAGGCATCCCCCACCACACCCAGCTAATTTTCGGTAGAGACAGGGTTTTACCTTGTTGGCCAGCAATAAGGAAATGATTCAGAACAGCTGGGCTCCCAACTAAACCCACCCTCAATCCTGGAAACTCGGCCCTAAGTGAAAACAGCTAACCCCATTTTTCTGCCCAAATGATTGCCCTTTTGGCCTTCCTCACACCCTATCCTGGGCCCATAAAAAGACCAGCTGGCAGAGCAACACAAGCGGCTGCTGCAAGTGGTTGGGGATGCAAGATGCTGAGCATCGGAATACAAGTGGCTGAACGTTGGGGATACAAGCAGATGAGCATTAAAGCCTACAGAGAGATGCAGCTAACTTCAGATGGTGTGGCTTCAGGGGAAGATCACCTTCTTGCTGCACCATCCCCTTTCTTTTTTTTTTTTTTTTTGAGACGGAGTCTCACTCTGTTGCCCAGGCTGGAGTGCAGTGGCGTGATCTCAGCTCACTGCTCACTGCAAGCTCTGCCTCCTGGGCTTAAGAGATTCTCCTGCCTCAGCCTCCCAAGTAGCTGGGATTACAGTCACCCGCCACCACGCCCAGCTAATTTTTTTGCATTTTTATTTGAGATGGGGTTTCACCATGTTGGCCAGGCTGGTCTCGAGCTCCTGACCTCAGGTGATCCATCTGCCTCAGCCTCCCACAGCCTTCCAAAGTGCTGGGATTACAGGCTTGAGCCACTGCGCCTGGCAGCACCATCCCCTTTCTAACTCCCCTTTCCACTGAGAGCCACATTTATCACCCAATAAAATCCTTCACTTATGCTACTCTTTAAATAGCTAATGTGACCTGGTTCTTCCTTTACACCGAATAAGAACTTGAGTGTCAAAAAGGGCAGGTGCGGGAAGCTGTCACTCTGACCATACACTGAGCTGTTCACACTCAGCCATCCACAGACTGCAGCCGGAGTGAAACAAACCACTCTAGTTCCTGCCCATGAAGAAGGTCAAAGTCAAGGGAACAATCCTGTCTCAGGAACACACTTTACTGGACAGGTTATCAAACACTTAAAGAAGATTTTACAAATTTAGTGGCACTACCATTGCCCTTGTTTTTCTCAGCCTTCTACAAAGGTTGAATGAACAAATGGTATCTTGAAACTAAAATTAGCTAAATCAGGCTGGGCACGGTGGCTCACATCTGTAATCCCAGCACTTTGGGAGGCCGAGGCGGGTGGATCACTTGTCAAGAGTTCGAGACCAGCCTGGCCAACACGGTGAAACCCCTTCTTTTCTAAAGGTACAAAAAGAAGCTGGGCATGGTGGTGCATGCCTGTATTCCCAGCTACTAGGGAGGTTGAGGCAGGAGAATCACTTGAACCCAGGAGGCAGAGGTTGCAGTGAGCCGAGATCGCACCATTGTACTCCGGTCTGGCAGACAGAGGAAGACTCTGTCTCAATAAAAATAATAATAAAAATAAAATAAAATTAGCTACATCTACAGGGAAGACTAGATTACACTAACCGAAAGTTTTTTTTTGTTTTTTATTTTTGAGACGGAGTCTTGCTCTGTCACCGAGGCTGGAGTGCAGTGGCATGATCTTGGCTCACTGCAAGCTCTGCCTCCTGGGTTCATGCCATTCTCCCGCCTCAGCCTCCTGAGTAGCTGGGACTACAGGCACCTGCCACCACGCCTGGCTAATTTTTTTTCTATTTTTAGTAGAGATGCGGTTTCACCATGTTAGCCAGGATGGTGTCGATCTCCTGACCTCATGATCTGCCCGCCTCGGCCTCCCAAAGTGCTGGGATTACAGGCGTGAGCAGCCGTGCCCTGCTAACCAAAAGTTTTACTACTGAATTTTTTTTTTTTTTTTTTGAGATAGAGTCCCCCGGCCGGGCGCGGTGGCTCACGCCTGTAATCCCAGCACTTTGGGAGGCAGAGGCAGGTGGATCATGAGGTCAGGAGATCGAGACCATCCTGGCTAACACAGTGAAACCCCGCCTCTACTAAAAATACAAAAAATTAGCCGGGCGTGGTGGCGGGCGCCTGTAGTCCCAGCTACTTGGGAGGCTGAGGCAGGAGAATGGCGTGAACCTGGGAGGCGGAGCTTGCAGTGAGCCGAGATTGCGCCACTGCACTCCAGCCTGGGCAGCAGAGCGAGACTCCGTCTCAAAAAAAAAAAAAAAAATGAGATAAAGTCTCCCTCTGTCACCAGGCTGGAGTGCAGTGGCACCATCTCTGCTCACTGCAACCTCTGCCTCCCGGGTTCAAGCGATTCTCCTGCCTCAGCCGTCCAAGTAGCTGTAACTACTGGTTTACACCACCATGCCGGGCTAATTTTTGTATTTTTAGTAGAGACGGGGTTTCACCAAGTTGGCCAGGCTGGCCTCGAACTCCGTACCTCAAGTGATCCTCCCACCTTGGCCTTCCAAAGTGCTGGGATTACAGGTGTAAGCTACCGTGCCTGGCCTCAAACTGAACATTCTCAAAGTTCTACTGTTCAAAGTTTAGCTTCTTTCACTAAGCAAATCAATTGCTGGCTATGTAAACATTTTTTTTTTAATCTTTGTTTTTGTTTTCCTTTTTCGAGACAGGGTCTTGTTTTGCAACCCAGGCTGGAGTGAAGTGGCACGATCACGGCTTATTGCAGCCTTGACCTGCCAGTCTCAATCAATCCTCCAAATCAATCTCCTAAATAGCTAGGATTACAGGTGTGTGCCACCACACCTGGTTAGGTTTTGTGTTTTTTTATTTTTTTGTAGAGACAGGGTTTCACCATGCTGCCCTGGCTGGTCACTAACTCCTGGCCTCTGGGCTTAAGCAATCTGCCTGACTCGGCCTCCAAAAGTTCTGGGATAACAGGTGTGAGCCACCAAGCAGGGCCTGGAAATTTATTTCTGTGCATAGAAAACCTTAGTGCAACTGGGTTGATCTAGGCAGTGTTCCAGACTCCCTCTGTAATCAGACTCTTTGGTTTGACACACATTATGGAGATTGGAAGCCAATGTGTAAGGGAAATAGATATAAAATTAGAACATGACCACTACTTAGGAGGCTGCAGCAGAAGGATCACTTGAGTCCAGGAGTTCAAGGCTGCTATGAGCTATGATTATGCCACTGAACTCTAGCCTCGGCAACAGAGTGAAGAAGACCTTATCTCAAAAAACAAAACAAAATAAAACAAAAACAAAAACAAAAACAAACAAACAAAACAACAGTCAGAGGTAGTAGTTCATGCCTGTAATCCCAGCACTTTAGGAGGCTGAAGAGGGCAGATCACTTGAGATCAGGAGTTCAAGACCAGCCTGGTCAACATGGTGAAACCCCATCTCTACTAAAAGTACAAGAAAAATTAGCTGGGTGTAGTGGCAGGCCCCTGTAATCCCAGCTAATTGGGAGGCTGAGCCAGGAAAATCGCTTGAACCCAGCAGGTAGAGGTTGCAGTGAGCCGAGATGGCAACACTACACTCCAGCCTGGGCAACAGAGTGAGACTCTGTCTCAATCAAAGCAAAACAAAACAAAGCAAAACAAAACAAAACAAAACAACAAAACAAAACGAAACAATACATGAGCATGATCATGTTACCCTCTACTACGTAATCAACGTCTTACTAAAACCAGACATTGGTGGCCGGGCACAGTGGCTCTCATCTGTTATCCCAGCATTTTGGGAGGCCGAAGCAGGCAGATCACCTGAGGTCAGGAGTTCAAGACCAGCCTGGCCAACGTGGTGAAACTCCGTCTCTACAAAAAATACAAAAAAATCAGCTGGGCATTATGGCGAGTGCCTGTTATTCCAGCTACTTGGGAGGCTGAGGCAGGAGAATCGCTGGAACCTGGGAAACAGAGGTTGCAGTGAGCTGAGATGGTGCCATTGCACTCCAGCCAGGGTAACATAACAAGACTCCGTCTCAATAAAAAACCCAAAAAACAAAAAACTAAAAAACTAGACATTGGTTTAATGGAAACATGAGAGGCAAAGGGATTGTCTCTACAGTTCTACTATATGAAATAAATAATAGCTTCTTTTGTTTGTTTGTGTTGTTTTTGTTTTTTTGAGACAGAGTCTCACTCTGTTGCCCAGGCTGGAGAGCAATGGCATGATCTTGGCTCACTGGAACCTCTGCCTCCTGGGTTCAAGCAGTTCTCCTGCCTCAGCCTCCAAGTAGCTAGGATTACAGGTGCTCTCCACCACACCTGGCTAATTTTTTGTATTTTCAGTAGAGACGAGGTTTTGCCATGTTGGCCAGGCTGGTCTGAAACTCCTGAGCCCTAGTGATCCATCCACCTTGGCCTCCCAAAGTGTTGGGATTACAGGCGTGAGCCACTGCGCCCGGCCAATAGTTTGGTTTATTAGATGCATCAATAATCAGGGCATTTTGTAGAGGAACCTACTTATCCTTTAATGGAGATAGCATGCAATGGCTACTTCATCTAATTCATTAAAATACTTTTTCTTCCTACATTTATTTATTTATGTATTTATTTTATTTTATTTTTTTTGAGATGGAGTTTCACTCTTGTTGCCCAGGCTGGAGTGCATTGGTGTGATCTCAGCTCCACACCTCTGCCTCCCTGGTTCAAGCGATTCTCCTGCCTCAGCCTCCCTAGTAGCAGGGATTACAGGCATGTGCCACCACGCCCGGCTAATTTTGTATTTTTAGTAGAGATGGGGTTTCTCCATGTTGGTCAGGCTGGTCTTGAACTCCCGACCTCAGGTGATCCACCCACCTCGACCTCCCAAAGTGCTGGGATTACAGGTGTGAGCCACTGTGCCCAGCCTTATTTATTTATTTATTTATTTATTTATTCATTTATTTATAAGACAGGTTCTCACTCTGTCACCCAGGCTGGAGTGCAGTGGCAGATCTCAGCTCACTGCAACCTCTGCCTCCTGGGCTCAAGTGATCCTTCCACCTCAGCCCCCCAAGTCACTGAGAGTACAGGTGCATGCCACCATGCCCAGCTAATTTTTGTATTTTTTGTAGAGATGAGGTTTTGCCACATTGCCCAGGCTGGTCTTGAACTCCTGGACTCAACAATCTGCCCACTTTGGCTTTCCAAATGCTGGGATTACTGGTGTTAACCACCATGCTTGCTCCTCTATCCCAATTTAAACCACAATCACACAATCTGGTGTCAATGGAAATTAAGGCTGTTGAGGGAGAAATAATTTGATACAAGTTTATTGGAAGCTGAATGTGAGAATTGACCCAGGAACATACAGCAACAAAGTGGGTGTGTTCCAAAGTCTATTATAAGTTGGAATGCTTTCATGAGAGAGTGTAGAAGGCAGTGGGACTCCTCATAGCTGAGTTGTCCTTCAGTGATGGGTACAACACAGAGGTTACAATCATTGACCAAGGTTGACAATGAACAGGCCAAAATGCTTGAAGTGCAAGACAGTTAAACTTCATGATCAAAATCAAATCAGCGTCCTTCTCAATGTCAGAAGGTGAAGCCTTTGTCAGTACTTGAAGAGTTTGAGAAGCTCATGATCAGATGATTTACTCAGGGACAGGATGTAAGCCATGAATCCTAAGCCCTTCCCCAGATGGTTGGTTTGGAAGCCCGCCAACTGTGATTTGCAGGTTTTTGTTTTTGTTTTTGCTTTTTTGAGATGGAGTCTCACTCTGTCACCCAGGGTGGAGTGCAATGGTGCAGTCTTGGCTCACTGCAATGTCCACCTCCCTTGTTCAAGCAATTCTCCTGCCTCAGCCTCCCAAGCAGCTGGGATTACAGGCATGCCCCAACACACCTGGCTAATTTATATATATGTATATATTTTTTAGTAGAGATGGGGTTTCACCATGTTGGCCAGGCTGGTCTTGAACTCCTGGCCTTAGGTGATTCTCCCGACTTGGCCTCCTAAAGTGTTGGGATTACAAGTGTGAGCCACCAAGCCTGGCCGATCTGCAGGATTTCACTGGCAATGTGCAGACGTAGCTATGATGAAGAATAACCATGACCGTCCCATTACCTCCGACTGGTGGAGAATGGGATCCTTTGACCCTTTCTCACCCTAAAACTGGGTTACTCATCTGTGTGTCAACAAAAATATGGTGTACTTAACAGACAGAGAAAGAGACTCAGTAAAAAAGGATTTTTTTCTTATGAAATGAGCAAAGCAATGGGAATAGGTGTGAGACTATTCAGGGAGGTCAAGGAAGACAAGGGTTTTGAAAGGAAAAATAAGGAGGATTACATAAGTGGTTCTGAAGGCATCCTCCTTGGCCATAAGGATCACAGTTAAGGTGGCATTGGCCAATGTTGGAAAGAGTCTCCCTCATGCCCACAAAAACCCAACACATTGACCATGCCTTGGTTCAATCTCAAGGTCCCATTGGAACACTAAGCCCAACCCAGCCCAGCCCAGCCACCACCCTTACTTCTCTTTGTAATTGTTACCTGATTTCCTCCAGAGAAACCTGGAACAAAATCTTGAGACCAATCACACCCTTAGTGGTACCTCTCTTCCACACAAATGAGCATACGATTTCCTCATATGGGTAACTTAAATCCCAAATGACCAATATATACACGAACATTTAAATTCAATTTTGTAGGGATAAAACCACTGCCTTCATGAAGCTGTTTTTTGTTTTGTTTGTTTTTGTTTTTGATACAGGCTCTGTCGCTCAGCCCAGAGGGCAATAGATTGATCTAGGCTCACTGCAACCTCTGCATCGTGGGGATCAAAAAATGGATCTTCCCATTTCAGCCTCCAGAGTAGCTGGGACCACAGGTGTGTGCCACCATGCTTCACTGATTTTTTTTTTTTTTTTGAGATGGTGTCTCCCTCTGTCACCCAGGGTGTAGTGCAGTGGCATGATCTTGGCTCACTGCCACCTCCACCTCCCGGGTTCAAGTGATTCTTCTGCCTCAGACTCCTGAGTAGCTGGGACTAGAGGTGCATCCCACCATGCCCAGCTAATTATTGTATTTTTAGTAGAGACGGGGTTTCACCGTATTTGCCAGGCTGGTCTCGAACTGCTGACCTCATGATCTGCCTACCTTGTCCTCTCAAAGTGCCAGGATTACAGGCTTGAGCCACCGCACCTGGCTTATAAAGTTTAAACTCTGAAATATTTTTATTTTTATTTATTTATTTATTTATCTTGAGACTGAGTCTTGCTCTGTCACCCAGGCTGGAGTGCAGTTGTGCGATCTTGGCTCACTGCAAGCTCCGCCTCCCAGGTTCTTGCCATTCTCCTGCCTCAGCCTCTGGAGTAGCTGGGAATAAAGGCACCCACCACCATGCCTGGCTAATTTTTTGTATTTTTGGTGGAGACAGGGTTTCAGTGTTAGCCAGGATGATCTCGATCTCCTGACCTCGTGATCCACCCGCCTCAGCCTCCCAAAGTGCTGGGATTATAGGTGTGAGCCACAGTGCCTGGCTGAAACCTTTTATAATTTTGTTTTGTTTTGCTTTTTGAGGCAGAGTCTCTCTCTGTCACCTAGGCTGCAGTGCAGTGGCATGATCTTGGCTCACTGCAACCTCCGCCTCCTGGGTTCAAGTGATTCTCCTGCCTCAGCCTCCTGAGTAGCTGGGACTACAGGCGCCCACCACCACACCCGGCTAATTTTTGTATTTTTAGTAGAGACAAGGTTTCACCATGTTGGCCAGGATGGTCTCGATCTCCTGACTTCGTGATCCACCGCCTGGGCCTCCCAAAGTGCTGGGATTACAGGCATGAGCTACCGCGCCTGGCCCATTTTGATAATTTTGATGGGGCCAAAGATTTCCCCAACATTAATCTTTTTAGGTTTTGTTTTTCTCTCTAATGTCAGGAACAGAGTGAGAGTTCCCTGTCTCACACTCAGGACAAAGAAGGTCACATACTGGTAAATTCCATCAGTGTTTGTTAGGGTGGAAGTCAAGAATTCACTCATTAATGCCCTCCAGAAGCAGAGATGGAGTGGTAGTAATATGTGACCTTCCTAGTCCTGAGTGGAAGACAGGGAAGGGTTCAACCTATTCCTGAGATTAGACAGAAAAGCAAAACCGGAAAATATTATGGTTGGGAGTTCTTTGGTGACATCAAAATCATCAAAATGAGTTCTTGACTTCCACCCTAATTACAGTGCTTTCAGTTTCATGATTGGATATCTGATTCAATCCATTATTCTGCAGAAAGCCAAAACTTCAATCAGGCTTAACTGGGTGGAATTCAGAAATCCCATCAGGCATCACTTTCTGATAGGAATCTGGAAGTTGATAAAGGAGGTGGGATTAGGAAAGTCCAAGAAAGTTGCTGGGAGCCGTGGCTCATGCCTGTAATCCAGCACTTTGGGAGGCTGAGGGGGAGGGTGGGTCATGAGGTCAGGAGTTCCCAAGACCAGCCTGGCCAATATGGTGAAACACCATCTCTGCTAAAAATACAAAATTAGCTAGGTGTGGTGGCGCATGCCTGTAATTCCGGCTACTTTGGAGGCTGAGACAGGAGAATCACTTGAATCCAGGAGGTGGAGGTTGCGGTGAGCCGAGATCACGCCATTTTACTCCAAACTGGGCAACAAGAGCAAAACTCCATCTCAAAAAAACAGAAAGGTCCAAGAAAGCTTGTGAACATCCACAGAAGAAACCCCAAGCTGTGGTACCTGGAGTTATTGCTTGATTCTCCAAGAGGTCCGAGCAGACTGCAAAGTGAGTCCAGATCTGGTAAGTCAGGTACCTTCACAAGGGCACTCCTATGACCCACAGTCAGCCAGTAGAGGGCGACATGAAGGCCAAGGTGGCACAGAGAATTTTCTTGCCTGTTTTTCAGATGAACAGATGTAGGCTTTAATTTTTTCTCTAATGCAGTTTTATCTCTTCACTCCAAATATTTTATTTGTGTTTAGTTTATGTCATTTCAAATGTTTTTTTTTTTTTTTTCTGAGATGGAGTCTTGCTCTGTCACCCAGGCTGGAGTGCAATGATGAGGTCTCGGCTCACTGCAACCTCTGCCTCCTAAGTTCAAGCAATTCTCCTGCCTCAGCCTCCTGAGTAGCTGGGATTACAGGTGCCCACCACCATGCCCGGCTAATTTTTGTATTTTTAGTAGAGACAGGGTTTCACCATGTTGGCCAGGCTGGTCTCGAACACCTGACCTCGTGATCTGCCCACCTAGGCCTCTCAAAGTGCTGGGATTATAGGTGTGAGCCACCATGCCCAGCTTCAGAGTTCCAAATCAAGCAGTTGAAAAATAATGCAATTGACTGAAGTCTTTTTTTTTTTTTCTTTGAGACATTGTCTTCCTGCGTCATTCTTGGTGGAATGCAGTATTGTGATCTCGACTCACTGCAACCTCTGCCTTCTGGGCTCAAGCCATCCTCCCTACTCAGAAGTTCTAGCCTTCTGAATAGCTGGAATTCAGGCATGCACTAGTATAACTGGCTAATTTTTTTGATTTTGTTTTTTTCTTTTTTTTTTTTTTTTGAGAGAGAGTCTCACTCTGTTGCCCAGGTTCGAGTGCAGAGGCATGATCTTGGCTCACTGCAAATTCTGCTTCCCGGGTTCAAGTGATTCTCCTGCTTCAGCCTCCCAAGTAGCTGGGACTGTGGGTGTGTGCCACCACACCTGGCTAATTTTTGTATTTTTAATAGAGATAGGGTTTCACTATGTTGGCCAGGCTGGTCTTAAACTCCCAAACTCAGGCGATCTGCCCGCCTCAGTCTCACAAAGTGCTGAGATTACAGGTGTGAGCCACCGTGCCAGGCCTATTATTATTATTTTTTATAGTGATGAGGTCTTGGTTTGTTACCTAGGCTGGTCTGGGACACCTAGATTCAAGCAAACCTCCCACTTTGCCTCCTAAAGTCTTGGGATTACAGGCATGAGCCAACATGACTGGTCTCATACACCATTTTCAAGAATGGAGTCTTTGTTCTGAATGTGGGATCCATTTGTTTCTCTAGACTCCATTCCAAAGTGGGTAATATTTTATTTATTTATTTATTTTATTAAGACAGAGTCTTGCTGTTCTGCCCAGGCTAGGGGTACAGTGGCAGAGTCTCAGATCACTGTAACTTCTGCTTCACAGACACAAGCCATCCTTCCACCTCAGCCTGCAGAGCAGCTGGGACTACAGGTGTGCGCCATCACATCCATCTATTTTTTGTATTTTTTTGGAGAGACAGGGTCTCACTATGTAGCCCAGGCTGGTCAGCAACTCCAGGGCTTAAGTGATTGTTCTGCCTTGGCTTGCCAAAGTGTTGGAATTACAGCTGTGAGCCTCCATGTGTGGCCCCTCATTACTCTTTTGAAAGTGAACATAATGGTGTCTAATTAAAAATATCCCTTTAGTCTCTCCCAGCCAAGTTCACTGTGGGAACTGAGACTGTAGACTGTTTGGGGCCACAGGAGACTCCCATTACCATTGTTTTATTGTTTTATTTTATTTATTTATTTTTTTGAGACTGAGTCTCGCTCTATTGCCCAGGCTGGAGTGCAGTGGCACTGTCTGAGCTCACTGCAACCTCCGCCTCCTGGGTTCCAGTGATTCTTGTGCCTCAGCCTCCCGAGTAGCTGGAGTTACAGGCACCTGCCACCATGCCTGGTTACTTTTTGTGTTTTTAGTAAAGACTGGGTTTCACCTTGTTGGCCAGGCTGGTCTCTAACTCCTGACCTCAAGTGAGCCACCCGCCTTGGCCTCCAAAGTGCTGGGACTACAGTTGTGAGCCACCAAGCCCAGCCACATGACCATTGCTTTAGATCCTTAAATTGAGAAGACATTTTTTTCTCAAAAAAGGAGCTGAGCTTTGAAGATTCTTGGTAACACTTCCCAGAGCTAATAGAGTTGGGTGGAGAAATTAATGAAAATTCATGGAGTAGGAGTGATCTTGCCCGTTCCTTGGAGGTTGGGAGACACTCTTCTTGGTACCAGAAGGGCAGAACTATGTCTCTGTGGCCAATTATTGCAGAGTCGAATTGGGGTAAACTAAGGACTTTCACACCTGCCAGAGTAGTGACTTTTGGCCCAGGAGAAGTCAGGGTGTGAGAGGACTGGCCTGATAAGTTTGTCTTCTCTGGATTTGTTTTCTTGCAGATTTATCAGGATGAGCTTCCAGGCCCCACGCAGACTCCTGGAGCTGGCAGGGCAGAGCCTGCTGAGGGACCAGGCCTTGGCCATCTCCGTCCTGGATGAGCTGCCCAGGGAGCTCTTCCCCCCACTGTTCGTGGAGGCCTTCACTAGCAGACGCTGCGAGGTTCTGAAGGTGATGGTGCAGGCCTGGCCCTTCCCCTGCCTCCCTCTGGGGTCCCTGATGAAGACGCCTGATCTGGAGATCTTACATTATGTAGTGGATGGGATTGATTGCCTGCTTGCCCAAAAGGTTCGCCCCAGGTGAGGTGACCCAGGTGGGGAGGGCCCAGGTGTCCAGGGACTAAACAGCTGGGTCAGACAAATTGGGAACCCGGGGTGGCCCAGGGGCTTCTGATGGTGCCAGTGAGAAAGCTGGGAACGTTCTTGGCTATTGCCCAGCTCCTCTGGGAAAGGACTGCTCACCATACAGGGTCCACTGAGGAAACAGGAACCTGCCTGCTCCCAGTGGAAGGTAAAGGCACTAGAAGTGGGTACCAGGCAGAATCCAAGGGGGAAAGGGATGGAGAAGAGACAGAAGGAGGGGCGCTGAGGAAAAAAGCAGCTGAAGTCCTTGATGTGGAGTGAAAGCCCAGGTCAGGGGTGGGTCCTTGTCTACGTTCTGAGCTTTTCCCCTATGTTACTCACAGGAGGTGGAAACTTCAAGTGCTGGAAATGCGGGATGTTGATGAGAATTTTTGGACCATATGGTCTGGAGCCAGGCTCCTGTCCTGCTCCCCAGAGGCCATGAGTAAGAGACAGACAGTGGAGGACTGTCCAAGGACAGGAGAGAAGCAGCCCTTGAAGGTGTTCATGGATGTTTGCCTCAAGGAAAAATTCATGGATGAAGATCTGAGCTTCTTCTCTGGGTGGGTGCAGCACAGAAGAGGTTCAGTACACCTGTGCTGTACTAAGGTGGTGAATTATTCAATGAGCATTCTAAATTTCAGAAACATATTGGAAACAGTATACCCAGACAGTATCCAAGTGTTGGAAATTTGGAACATGTGCTGGCTGTGTATGATAGTAGAGTTTAGCCGTTACCTGAGCCAGATGAGGAATCTTCGCAAACTCTTCATCTCTGATGGCTGTCGTTACCTGCTAAGCTCTGACAGCCAAGAACAGTTAGTTGCTGAATTCAGCTCTGTGCTCCTCAGGCTGGAGAACCTCCAGATGCTTTATGTAAGAAGGGTCTGCTTCTTCAGAGGCCACCTGGACCAGCTGATCAGGTGAGGAAGGATGGTGAGCTTTCTCTGGGGGCCATAGCACAGCCTTTTTTTGTTACAATAAACACCAATCAGCATCTACTGTGTGCCAGCCACTGGAGATGTCTAGGGAAGGGGACACTAGAATGCATTGTCCTGTTTGGTGCTCTATATCCTGAAGTGGGTATCACAGGATCGCTCCAGTAAGGGCAGAGGGATGACCTGGGGTAGAAGCTACAGAGAGGGACATCGTGTAGGGAGCTGGTTAGTGGAGGGTTCAGCTCTAGTGAGGGTGAATTCCTTTTAGGAATTCCTTGTTAGGAAGTGTGTTTAAAGTTAATATGATAAAAAAGAGGCAACAGAGGGGAGGGTGTAAAAGAAGAGAAAGTGCACCAAACCTGTGTGTTTCACAGAGGAAGCTCTGTCCTCACAGCTTAGTGAACATGAATGATCCTCTCTCTGATTCCCTGTCTGTAAAAGGTTGTTTTGAACTCCAGGAAAGGTAAGTGACATGGGAAATGCGTGCTTCTGGGATGGAGGTGAGGGAATAGGCACGAGAGTGGTACAAAGTGACAGGTGGTTTGCAGATGTGGCCATGTCAGGGAGCCTCTGAAAGCAGGTAGCCCTAGCTGATGTCCCTAGACCTTGCTCAGGTCAGTTCTTTGGGCATCTCTTCCACTGGGCTCCTGTGGCCCAGAGATGAAGCTTTCTGCTGGAAGATGAAGAAAAGAGGCTTTAGAGATTTTATGGCCTTGAACCAATCACACCAGTGATGGTGAAAGGACTGAGCCTAAAATGGGACTGCCTCTGAATGATCCAAGTCCTCATCAGGCAGCACCTTGCGGGAGGACCATGATTAGATGATGAGAACAAACTTGTGTTTGGGCAAAACAGGCTCTTCCCTTGACGTTATTTTCTACCACCGTCCTCTAACTGGTGCCATTGCCCAGTACTAACTTCTTGCTCTCCCCAGGTGCCTCAGGAGCCCGTTGGAGACATTGGCATTAACTTATGGCTTCCTAGAAGAAGAGGACTTGAAATGCCTGCCCCGGTACCCAAGTCTCAGTCAACTGAAGCAGCTGAATCTGAGTCATGGTGCACTGCGCTTCATCCGTCTTGAGCCCCTCCGAGCTCTGCTAGAGAAAGTTGCTGCCACTCTTCAGACCCTCTTCTTAGTGGACTGTGGGATTGGGTACTCCAAACTCAGGGTCATCCTGCCTGCCCTGAGCCGCTGCTCCAACCTCACCACTTTCTGTTTTCACGGCAATGACACGTCCATGGATGCTCTGAAGGACCTGCTGCGCCACACAGGCAGGCTGAGCAATTTGAGCCTGGAAACATATCCTGCCCCTCGGGAGAGTCTTGACAACAGGGGTCGTGTCATTTTGGAGCTCCTCACCCCACTTCAGGCTGAGCTGATGCGTATACTGAGGGAAGTAAGGGAGCCCAAAAGGATCTTCTTTGGTCCGGTGTCCTGCCCTTGCTGTGGCACGTCGCCCACTGAGCAACTGGAGTCCAATTTTTGCTTGTGGGGAAGGCCTGCCTAGTGGGGTGGAGGTATAAAAAGCTTTTTCTCCAGGCACTTGGAAACTAAAATCTGGGACATAGATGTCTTTTATTTTTCTTTTTCCTTATTTTACAATTTTACAGCTTTTATTTAAAAATTTGAAACAGGGTTTCCCTATGTTGTCCAGGCTGGTCTCAAACTCTTACGCTTAAGGGAGCCCCCTGCTTGGCCTCCCAAGATTCTGGGATTACAGGCATAAGCAGCTGTGCCGGGTCTATAGGTGTATTATAAAGGGAACAGAGAAACCTCTGTTTCAGGCATGTGCTTTCTGTGAGTGGAAAACAAAAAACAAAAAATCCCAGCAGGGGGCAGCACTGGGGAAAAAGTTGAATGGAGTCACTGAGACTCAGGGATCTGTGTCCTAGACAGTCAGAAATAGAAAGCTGAAGTTCTAGAGTGAGGGAGTTATCTCAGCAAGGATGGATACAAAGAAACGTCGGAAGTAGAGGGAACCTAAATGGAAACTCTCTGCTGTCCTTCATGATTGATTAGCCTGTTTCAGCAATTTATACATCAGAAATCTTTAGTTCCTGATGAATTAAAAAAAGAGGTACTAGTTCATCTGTGATTTAGGTTCATCTGCAGGAAATAAAGGAATCAAAATAAACTTCATGTTGTCGTTGTGGTTTTTTTTTCTTTTTTTTTTGTTTTGTTTTAGACGGAGATTCGCTCTTGTTGCCCAGGCTGGAGTGAAATGGCATGATCTTGGCTCACCACAACCTCCGCCTCCTGGGTTCAAGCGATTTTCCTGCCTCAGCCTCCCGAGTAGCTGGGATCACAGGCATGCGCCACCATGCCCAGCTAATTTTGTATTTTTATTAGAAACGGCATTTCTCCATGTTGATCAGGCTGGTCTCGAACTCCTGACCTCAGGTAATCTGCCCACCTTGGCCTCCCAAAGTGCTAGGATTACAGGCATGAGCCACAGAGCCTGACCTGTTTTGTTTGTTTGTTTTGTTTATTTGACGGAGTCTTGCTTGGTCACCTAGGCTGGAGTGCAGTGGTGTGATCTTGGCTCACTGCAACCTCCAACTCCCAGGTTCAAGGGAATTTGTGTTTTTAGAAGAGACGGGGTTTCACGATGTTGGCCTGACTGGTCTCAAACTCCTAACCTCAGGTGACCTCAAGGAAGCCTCCCAAAGTGCTAGGATTACAGGCGTGAACCAACGTGCCTAGCCTAAACTTTGATTAATTTATGCCCATTCTTTACCTCTCCAGTCATCTCTTCCTTACTTTCTCCTGTGGTTATTTACTGGGTTCATCCACAAAAGATGCATGCCTGGGACCTGGAACATTCTATGTGGGCAGTGATGATGAACCATTGAGTCAACCCTCTTCTTGTCAGGGGCCCTCACTGCTCCCCAGATACCGAGACCCTGCTCACTCCTAATGGGCAGATCTGGGAGAATCTGTTCCTGATCATTGGCCATGTCAGGAAAGGGCTTCACTGCACAAGGTGCGGCCCCCTGCCTTGGGAGGGAATGGCCATAGTGTGTACTAGCGGGAGCCTCATGGCATCACCAACACTTGCCTGTCCTCATGGTGGCTAGTGGGTTTTACTGAATTAACATAATTGTGTGTAGTAAAGATGTCCAATTTCTCTTAGAAGAATAGTAAAATCATTTAGGTAGATGACACATTCTAAATATTTCTAGCCCACATCAATATGCATCCTTTTGGAAATTAACTCATTTCAATGAGACATCTTCCTGTAACACCTCCCTTCTCTCCTTATCAAAAAACGGGAAAACCAGGGCACTGACCTGTCCTCATGGTGACTAGTGGGGTTTACTGAATTAAAGTGATTGTGTCCAGTAAAGATATCCAATTTCTCTTAGAATAATGCTAAAATCATTTAGGTGGATAATACATTCTAAATATTTCCAGCCCATATTAATGGAAATATACATCCTTTTGGAAACTAACTCATTTCAATGAGAGATCTTCCTATCACACCTCCCTTCTCTCCTTATCAAAAAACAGGAAAACCTGGGCTTGACCTAGCTAGCGCTCCTACACTGCCATGAGAATCCCTTTGGGACTTTCCCCATTTGGGACTGGCAGCACTCTTGTGGTTTACTAAAACTTAGGTAAACCTGGGCTTAAGCCACCACCTGGAGCCAAGAAGGAAGCAGCAACCTAGTGGTGAAGATTCACTAAGGGAATGTATTCAGTCCAAACCAAAGCAAGCCAGACAGAGAAAACTGGAGTAAATCATTCTTCCTTCAGTGCAAAAATACAGATCTATATCTACAAGAAACTAGAGCAAACAGGAAACTGTGACCTCCCCAAAATGACAAAGCAGAAATCTAGTGGGTGACTCTAATGTGATGGCTATTTGTCAGGTCTCTAACCAATCACTGAAAATCGCAGGTTTTCAAACTTGTATTTTAGTTCCAGGAATACAGATGCAGGTTTGTTCTATAGATAATAGACAAACTATCAGATAAATAATTTTGGTAGCTTTTGTTTATTTGTTTGTTTGTTTGTTTTTTGAGGTGGCGTCTCACTCTGTCACCCAGGCTGGAGTGTAGTGGCATGCTCTCAGCTCACTGCAACCTCTGCCTCCCAGAGTCAAGCAATTCTCCTGCCTCGGCCTCCCAAGTAGCTGAGACTACAGACTTGCATTACCACGCCAGGCTAAGTTTTTGCATTTTTAGTAGAGACAGGGTTTCACCATGTTGGACATGGAGAACTCCTGACCTCAAATGGTGCACTGCCTCAGTGCTGGGATTAGAGGTGTGAGCCACCATGTCCAGCCAGTTTTGGTAGTTTGTTGATACCCACTCCCCTTCCACCCTCCACTCTCCAGTAGTCCCGGGCGTCTATTGTTCCCATTATTATGTCATGTATACTTAATATTTGGCTCTCATTTATAAGTGAGAACATGTGGTGTTTGGTTTTCTGTGCCTGCTTTAGTTTGCTTAGCATAACGGCTTCTAGCTCCATCCGTGTTGCAGCAAAAGGAGGATGAGGACTTAATGAAAGGGCATTATCTTGTTCTTGTTTCAAGCTGTGTAGGTTTCCATGGTGTATCTGTACCATATTTTGTTAATCCAGTCCACCACTGATGTGCATTCCAGTGGATTCCATGTCTTTGCTGTTGTGAATAGTGCTGCGATGAGCATCCACATGTGACCACTCCCACTCAACATGTGCTAGAGTCTCACGTTACTGGAGTGTCTCTATATTACCCGGGCTGGTCCAGAACGGCCAGGCTCAGGCAGGGCTCCAATCTTAGCCTTACAAAGTATTGGGATTACAGGCATGAGCCACCACACATGGCTCTATTTTATTATAACATATATTTCTAGGCCGGGTGTGGTGGCTCACGCCTGTAATCCCAGCACTTTGGGAGGCCAAGGCGGGTGGATCACGAGGTCAAGAGATGGAGACCATCCTGGCCAACATGGTGAAACCCCGTCTCTACTAAAAATACAAAAATTAGCTGGGCATGGTGGCACGTGCCTGTAATCCTAGCTACTCAGGAGGCTGAGTCAAGGAGAATCGCTTGAACCCGGGAGGCGGAGATTGCAGTGAGCCGAGATCGTGCTGCTGCACTGCAGCCTGGGCAAAGAGTGAGACTCCCTCTCAAAAAAAAAAAAAGCTATAATTCTATAGGCCAAGCAAGGTGGCTCACGCCTGTAATTCCAGCACTTTGGGAGGCCGATGTGGGTGGATTGCTTGAACCAAGGAGTTCTAGCCTGGGCAACAAAGCAAAATCCTGTCTCTACTTAAAAAGGAAAAAAAGGATATATTTCTGTAGCTTATGGCCTGTAGGCTCGCCATGCCTCAGGCTCGAAAGTGCAGCTTTCAGAAAAGATCCTTCACTGGTATTTCCAGGGAGGAAGTGATGAGGCAGGAATTTATGCTGAGTGGGTTGGCCAAGTATACACACTCAACAGGTCATGAAATGGGCTATGAGTATTCTTGAAGGGGGCCTAACACATGCATACTGAATAAACATTCATGTGGCTTATGTCCCATGTTCACTTTGGGGTGGAGACTTCACATTTCTTTTTCTTTTTGAGACAGAGTCTTGCTATGTCACCCAGGCTGGACTGCAATGGCACCGTATCAGCTCACTGCATCCTCCACCTCCCAGGTTCAAGCGATTCTCCTGTGTCAGCCAAGTAGCTGAGACTACAGGTACATGCCACCACACCTGGCTACTTTTTTTTTTTTTTTTTTTTTTGAGATGGAGTCTTGCTCTGTCACCCAGGCTGGAGTGCAGTGGTGCAATCTCTGCTCACTGCAAGCTCCACTTCCCGGGTTCACGCCATTCTCCTGCCTCAGCCTCCCCAGCAGCTCGGACTACAGGCACACGCCGCCACGCCCAGCTAATTTTTGTATTTTTAGTAGAGACGGGGTTTCTCTGTGTTAACCAGGATTGTCTCGATCTCCTGACCTTGTGATCCGCCCTCCTAGGCCTCCCAAAGTGCTGGGATTACAGGCGTGAGCCACCGCGCCTGGCCCACTTTTTCTATTTTTAGTAGCGATAGGGTTTCACTATGTTGGCCAGGCTGGTCTGGAACGCCTGACCTCAGGTGATCTGCCGCCTCGGTCTCCCAGAGTGTTCCAAAGTGCTGGGATTACAGGCGTGAGCCACCGTGCTGCGCCGAGACTTCATGTTTCAATGCATTGCAGCTAGACCCCCCCATATCAAATGGTTCATCAGGGACATGAAGACGCTCGCGTGCTAAGTCTCTTTCAAGTGGCCAGAAGCAGTCAATGCTCAGAGGCCTCTCATCAGCAGAAAGTTACTGGAATCAATCTCTTGTCCAATCAAAGCTGGAGTCATGGCTTGTGGAACAGGGGGTCAGTTAGTCAGAATCTGGGATGGATGAGCTGCAATCATTTCAATATTGCTTATCTTAGGGCCAGTGCTTGTTCAGCTGCTAGAGAGAGAAAAACCCTGTGGCAGTTAGAATATAGTTCATTCAGCTGGGCACAGTGGCTCTTGCCTGTAATCCCAGCACTTTGGGAGGCTGAGGCGGGTGGATAATGAGGTCAGCAGGTCAAGACCAGCCTGGCCAACATGGTGAAACCCTGTCTGTACTAAAAATACAAAAAATTAGCCAGGTGTGGTGGCATGCACCTGTAATCCCAGCTACTCGGGAGGCTGAGGCAGGAGAATTGCTTGAACCTGGGAGGCAGAGGTTGCAGTGAGCCAAGATCATGCCACTGCACTTCAGCCTGGGCTACAAAGCGAGACGCTGCCTCAAAAAAAAAAAAAAAAAAAGTATATAGTTCATTTTTTAAGGGTAGGGGCCCTTGACTTAACCCTTGCCTGGTAAGACCTTAGGTCCTGTATATAACTTGGTATCTTATTACCCTAAATAGTCAATTCAGTCAGCCTTATAATCTCTATTTTAACATGAATGCTGGTCAGTTTTTGTGTCTCAACCATGAAAGGAAGGAAGTAAAATGAGACGTGTCTATCCTCCCATCCTGCCATGGCCAGGAACTCAGTTTTAAAGATTTCTCTGGGTACACTTGGCCGAGAGGGAATCTGTTCAGTTCATAGGGGGAGCTTAGGATTTTATTTTTAGTTTTCAGAACGAGGGATGAATAATCATGGAGGCTTCTGCTGGGAGGGAAAAAGTAGAAAAAATGCATTAATTTCACTCTTCCTGTATGCCAGGCCCTATGCCAAGCCCTTAAGTTGCCCCATCTCATTCGATTCTACCAGGGTCACACAGGTGGTGGACATCATCATCCTCATTTTTCAGGAAAACTGAGGCTCTCGCCCAAGGTTCCTGCCCAACAACACCAGGCCCTGAGTTCTCAGCATGGTCCTCACTCAGATACTCTTTGTGTAGGGTTTCTTACCTGAGTCCTCAGCAGGGTCCTCACCTGGATGCCGTTTGTGTAGGGTTTCTCATCTGAATCCTCTGCAGGGTCCTCACTCGGATGTCCTTTGTGTAGGGTTTCTCACCTGAGTCCTCAGCAGGGTCCTCACTTGGATGCCCTTTGTGTAGGGTTTCTCATCTGAGTCCTGAGCAGGGTCCTCACTCGGATGTCCTTTGTGTAGGGTTTCTCATCTGAGTCCTGAGCAGGGTCCTCACTCGGATGTCCTTTGTGTAGGGTTTCTCACCTGAGCCCTCAGCAGGGTCCTCACTTGGATGTCCTTTGTGTAGGGTTTCTCATCTGAGTCCTGAGCAGGGTCCTCACTCGGATGCCCTTTTTGTAGGGTTTCTCATCTGAGTCCTGAGCAGGGTCCTCACTCGGATGTCCTTCGTGTAGGATTTCTCACCTGAGTCCCCAGCAGGGTCCTCACTCAGATGCCCTTTGTGTAGGGTTTCTCACCATAGGGAAAGTCACTCATCACCCACAGGCACTTGACTATTATCTGCCCTCGAAGGATGTGCGATTCCAAAACACGCTTGCTCTGAGAAAAACCAGGGCCGTATCATTTTCCCCGCCAAACCGGAAAGGAGCCAAGAGATCAAAGGATGACTCAGATGAGCCCAGCTTGGCAAATAATGAGTTGATTAGGATTCACATGCAGGGCACTCCAGGGCAGCAGCAGCACAGCCCCAAAGATCTGTGCCACCTCCTGTCTCTAAACTGCTTTTAAGTGAATTTTCTGGCTCTTTGTCCACTGATTTTGAGCAATCAGCCTCTTCTGCCTGGTAGGTTCTCAGATACTGTCTGGGATGTTTGGGTTCTCGGGGACACCTGCTTCTTGGCTGGGCACAAGAGACTTGGCTTCCCACCTGGCCTTCAGGGTTCAGGCAGGGGACATGCACCCTTAAGTAACCTGATGGGACATGCCACACCAGAATTCTATACACTTGAAGTGGGGCCAGCCTCTCCACACCTGTGGTTACTTCTCCTCAGGTGGGATGAGAGACTGAGGAAAGAAATAAGACACAGAGACAAAGTATAGAGAAAGAAATTGGGCCCAGGGGACCGGCGCTCAGCATACGGAGGACCTGCACTAGCACTGGTCTCTGAGTTTTCTCAGTTTTTATTGATTACTGTTTTCACTATCTCATCAAGGGGAACGTGGCAGGAGAGCAGGGTGATAGAGGGGAGAAGGTCAGCAAGAAAACATGTGAGCAAAGGAATCTGTGTCACAAATAAGTTCAAGGGAAGGTTCTATGCCTGGATGTGCACATAGGCCAGATTTATGCTTTTCTCCACCCAAACATCTCAATGGAGTAAAGAGTAACAAAGCAGCATTGCTCCCAACATGTCCCACCTCCTGCCACAAGGCGGTTTTTCTCCTATCAAAGAATGGAACAAATGTACAATCGGGATTTATACCAAGACATTGCATTCCCAGGGGCAGGCAGGAGACAGAGGCCTTCCTCTTATCTCAGCTGCAAGAAGCCTTCCTCTTTTACTAATCCTCCTCAGCACAGACCCTTCACGGGTGTCAGGCTTGGGGACGGTCAGGTCTTTCCCATCCCATGAGGTCATATTTCAGACTATCACATGGGGAGAAACCTTGGACAATACCTGGCTTTCCAGGGCAGAGGTCCCTGCGGCTTTCCACAGTGCATTGTGCCCCTGGTTACTTGAGAATGAAGAACGGCGATGACTTTTATCAAGCACACTGCCTGTAAATATTTTGTAAACAAGGCACATCCTGCACAGCCCTAGATCCCTTAAACCTCGATTCCATACAACACATGTTTCTGTGAGCTCAAGGTTGGGGCTAAAGTTACAAATTAACAGCATCTCAGGGCAAAGCAATTGTTCAGGGTACAGATAAAAATGAAATTTCTTATGTCTTCCTTTTCTACATAGACACAGTAACCGTCTGATCTCTCTTTCTTTTCCCTACATATCCCCCTTTTCTTTTTGAGAAAACCGCCATCATCATCATGGCCCGTTCTCACTGGTCGCTCTCTCTTTGGAGCTGCTGGATACACCTGTAGACTAACAACAGACAAAACAGATATACCAGGATTAATATGAAATTACAACAGTTGAATTTCTGATGGTTTTAACCCAAGTGACAGGGTTAAGATTTGTGAGGCCATCAGCAACTTTCATGATTGCCTCAGTTTCTGGCACCAAATTTAAATGGGCTTTTGATGCCTCAAAAACTTGTTCTTTTAATTTTAAAATATCTAAAGTAAGATTATCTTCTCTTCCTTGTAGTTGGCGTCATGTCCCAGTGATGCTCAGACTCATTATACGCTTGGGGTTTAATACAAAAATCTGACATATTCCAGTCATACTGTAACTGAAAAAGATATTCCAAGCTCATGAGCCTATCTCCCATCCAAATGACAGTTTGTCTAAGATCATTAATTTGGTTTGCCAATTTTTGATCTATTTGGGTCTGAGAATTCCACAATTTTGAGGAATTCTTTTGCCAATTATTTACATATTCTGCAGTTTGAACAGAGAAGTGTAAAGCAATTCCAGCAGCCACAGCAGTAGCTGTGACTGCAATAAGACCCAAAATCACTGCAATCAAAGTAAAAAAGAATCTTTTGGATCTAGTTAGAACTCCTTTCAATACTTCTGTTAAAATATGGACAGATGGGGAAGCCTCCCACTGTCAGTCCATGGACACAGGGATCCCCATGCCCTCTCTTGCCCTCACCAGCAGAATACGGTGCTGCCAATCAAAAGTCTAATCAATGCAAGTAAACAATCTACTGTTTTCACAGGTTATAGTTTGGGAATCTGGTTTAATAACTATGTTTCCTACAACTAGCATATAAGGGGGTTTTACACAACTTTGCAAAGGAATTGTCGGATTGGAATTTAAGTTAATAGTATAATATGGCTTACGATCTCTTGTTCCTATAGCTTGATTTTCAGACCAAATTCTAATGTGGTGTGAGGCCACAGTAAGCTTTCATAATTCTGGATGTTCAGGACCAGTAACAGGACTAACTAACTTTGGTCGAGGTGATGAAATTCGCTTTTCACCCCATTTCCATGGATAGGGTGATTGTAACTTTCTATAAACCTGATCCAGCCTTTCAGTTAAATCACTCTCATAGGCCAGATTAATGGGCCAGATGGATGGGGCTGTGAACATGAGAGAGTCTGGCCTGTACAATTATAATAAAATTGGCCTCGAGGGGCCCGGTCTATAATAGTTCTAAATTCATTGTTTTGTAATACCACCGCAGTATCAGCCACACATTCTTCCCAAACTGAAACTTTTGGGCCTTTTGATTCTTTGGGAATTTTCTTGGGGCAAGGCTTCCCCTTAGGCCTAAATTTTAATGATCTTTGATAAGAAGAGTCCTGTAAATTATTTTATCTGTGGCCCGAGTGACATCCCACTTACTATGTGATAAGTAAATCTACTGGTGGCACTGACAGTAGGTACTTCTACCAACCAATTTGGGGTTGTAGGCATTAAATATCCTGGCACCTTCCCTTGGCAAATAGGAGGATAATGATACCCAGTGGAAATATTTATCATCAATTCTTTTTTAGGTTGGGCAGGGCAACGATCATCTGTGAGGCCTGGTACCCATGCACTATTATTAACATATACTTCAATAGGATTATCCATCCATGTGACTGCCTGAATTAAGGGCGGGAAAGGCACACAGTCCCGGTAAGTATGATTAGTTGTGGCTGCTCCTGCAGTCACAGGGAGACTTACCACCGTTGATACAATCATCAAAGCTGCAGGCAGCATGTTCTCTGGAGTTTGTGTTACCCTTTTTGTTCTTCAGGCTTTTTTCAGCTAACTGTGTCAGCTTCTTTAATTGGGCCCAGGTCAGTGGCCCCACTTTCTTGGTGGATGGCAGCTTCATCTGTTCTTCTGATATCACCATTTTGTTCACCCGGTGAGTCGATGATGCTCGATTGCGGGTTTTCCATCTCCGTGGTGGCGCTTCTCTTTGCATCTCCGATGGGTTCATTGTAGAACTTTAAATGTCTAGTGGGTATCCAAACAGGAAGCTGATTTTCTCCTGGTGAAACACAAGCAAAACCTCTCCCCCATGTTATCATTTTCCCTATTTCCCTTGTCTTATTTTTGTTGTCTTTCCACCAAATCAGTTTTCCTTCATGTGGGCTGTTCTTTTTACCAGTAAAATGTTGCTCTGCAGAAGTAGTGGTCTGATTTCTATAAATGTTTAAAAAATTTAAAGTATAGAGTGCTAAATTAAGTTGCATCTGGGGAGTGTTATACTCCTTAATGTCTTTTTCCTTTTTTTGTTTCACCAATTCAGCTTTGAGTGTTCTATTAGTTCTTTCAATTATGGCCTGTCCTTGGGAATTATAGGGGATTCCTGTTGTATGTGTAATTTGTCACTGATTTCACAATTTTTAAAATGTTTTACTACAGTATCCTGGCCCATTACGTGTTTTAATTTTTTTTTGGAACTCCCATGACAGCAAAACAAGATAATAAATGTCTTTTAACATGGGAAGTACTTTCTCCTGTCTGGCAGGTTGCCCATACAACATGCAGATAAGAATCAACTGTCACATGGACAAACGATGATTTTCCAAATGAAGGTACATGTGTGACATCCATTTGCCATAATGCATTAGGACATAGACCTCTGGGATTAACTCCTGCCTCCTGAGTGGGCAGGTGTAGGACTTGACACTGGGTGCAATGTTGTACAATATTTTTTGCCTGTTTCCATGTGATATCAAATTTATTTTTTAGTCCTGTTGCATTTACATGAGTCAAAGCATGAAGTTCTTGTGCTTCTATGAATGCAGATGATGCTAGCAAGTCAGCTTGTTCATTTGCTTTAGTTAAAGGCCTTGGTAAATTAGTATGTGCTCATATATGAGTAATATAAAATGGGAGATTTCTTTTTCTTACAATTTGTTGTAACAAATAAAAGGACTGGTTTAACTGATCATCCATACTATATTTGGTTAGGGCTGTCTCAACATCCTTTGTAGCTGTACTACATATGCAGAATCTGATTTTCAATGACTCGTTCTTTCGGCCTGGTGTAAACCACTTTTCCATTGCTGGAACCATCAGTAAACACAGTCAGAGCATTTTCTAAAGGTTTATGTCTGGTAATTTTAGGTAAAATTCAAGTAGTCAATTTTAAAAACTGGAAGATTTTTGTTTTTGGGTAATGGTTATCAATAATTCCCACAAAATCAGCAAGAGCAATCTGCCATGCAGCAGAATTGATAAAGCCTTGTCTAAACTCTTCCTTGTTTAAAGGAACAATGATTTTATCTGGGTCACTTCCACACAATTTTATTATTTGTAATCTTGCCTGACCAATTAATGTAGCCATTTGATCCAAGTACAATGTAAAAGTCTTAATCGTACTGTGAGGAAGGAAAGATCACTCCACAAGATCTGTATTTTGAACAATAATGCCTGTTGAGAATGTGCAGTAGCAAAAATCAAAAGTTGGAGTGGGGTGAAGTGATCTATTCTATTTACTTGTGCTGACCGAATTTTTTCTTCAATTAATTCAATTTCTTTAGTTGCCTCTGGAGTTAATGTTCTTTTACTATTCAATTCTGGATCCCCACTCAAGATAGAGAACAAATTTGACATGGCATAAGTAAGGATGCCTAGAGTTGACCAAATCCAATTAATATCTCCTAGCAATTTATGAAAGTCGTTTAATGTTTTTAATGTCTTTTCTTATTTCTATTTTTTGTTGTTTAAATTTTCTTTCCTCTACCTGCATTCCCAAGTAATGGACAGGAGTAGAGGTTTGAATCTTATCAGATGCTATTGTCAGTCCTGAGTTTGCAACCTCTGTCTGCAGAAATGTGTAACAGTCAATTAATGTGTCTCTCGTTTCTGCAGCACACAAAAGATCATCAACATAATGAAAGACGTAGTCTGAAAACTTGTCTCTAACTGGTTGAAGAGCTTCAGCTACAAAAATCTGACAAATAGTTGGACAATTAAGCATTCCCTGAGGCAACACTTTCCACTGAAACCTGGTGGCTGGTTCTTTATTATTTATGGCTGGTATAGTAAAAGCAAATTTTTCAAAATCCTGTTTTGCTAGAGGAATGGTAAAAAAGCAATCCTTCAGATCAATTATAATTAAAGGCCAATCTTTGGGGATCATGGCCAGAGAGGGCAACCCAGGTTGGAGAGCCCCCATAGGTTGAATTACAGCATTGACGGCTCTTAAGTCGGTTAACATGTGCCATCTGCTGGATTTTTTCTGAGTTACAAACACAGGAGAATTCAAGGCGAAAATGAAGGCTCAATATGTCCCTTTGCTAATTGTTCTTTTGCCCGTAAGTGTAAAGCCTCCAGCTTTTGTTTTGGTAGCAGCCACTGATTTACCCATACAGGTTTTTCTGTTTTCCAAGTTAATGGAATGGGTTTTGGGGGCTCTACAGTGGCCACTCCTAAAAAGGATATCCTATTCCTTTTCTTTCTTGATTTCCCTCAGCCTCAATTGGGATTTTAATGCCATCTCCATTTTTCCCTAGTCCTTTGCCAGGGAGATACCCCATTTTAGTCTGATTTTTTGACTCGTGGGGCTGTATAAGGAGGCTGGGATAGTCATCTCTGCATGCCATTGTTGTAACAAGTCTCGGCCCCATAAATTAATTGGAATAAAAGTAATCATAGGTTGAACTGTACTTTCTTGTTTATCAGGTCCTAGACAATGTAAAATCATGGTGCTTTGATACACTTTTGAGGCGCTGCCCACACCGACAAGTCCTGTAACAGGCTTTTGTTTAGGCCAATTTTTTGGCCATTGATTTAAGGCGATAATGGAAACATCAGCATCGGTATCCACTAATCCTATAAACTGCTTTCCCTGAATAGTGACTGTACACACAGGTCTATTCTCTGAGACCTGACGAGCCCAGTGAGTGGCTTTTCCGGCAGAGTTGGTACTTCCAAACCCTCCTGTCCTTTCCGTTTTATTTTCCCCAATTTTAATATAAGGCAAAAGCAATAATTGAGCAATTCTATTACCTGGATTGGCACTCCAGGGAACAGTGGAGCTGATCACTAACTGAATTTCCCCTTTATAATCTGAATCAATTACCCCAGTATGAATTTGGACTCCCTTCAAATTTAGACTTCATCTCCCTAAAATGAGGCCTACTGTCCCTCCTGGCAGTGGGCCATATACCCCTGTAGCAATCTTTTGCGGGGTCTCTCCAGGGAGTAAAGAAACCTTTTGAGTGGAACATAAATCTACTGCTGTGCTGCCTGCTGTGGCGGGGGACAGCTGTTGTATTGTTGTAATTGGCTGATTCCCTGAAGTGGTGGTATTTGCTGTGGTGGTTGCTGTCCCTGAAAACCCTGAAGAACAAACGGCTGAATCGGGAATGCCCCAGTTTGTTGTTGGGACTGAGGCTGGCCCCTCACCCCTTTTTCTGACAATAGTTGCCCATTTTTATCATATTTAGAACGACATTGATTAGCCCAATGTTTTCCTTTTCCATGTCTTGGACACAGGCCAGGTGGCTCTTTATTTTTACTCTGTTTATTTAAGACTGGGCAGTTCTTTTTTAGATGACCGATTTGACCACAATTATAACATTTCCCCCCAAATGCTCTAACTATCCTCCTAAAGTGACTCCGGTCATTGCTTGAGCCATTAGCATTGCCTTACGCATAGCTCCTCCAATCCCATCACAAGCTTTCACATATTCTGTAATTACATCAACTCCTGCTGGACCTTTTCCTTTTAATGGCTTTATGGCTGGTTGAAATTCTGGATTTGACTTTTGATAAGCCATTATTTCTACAATAACTTTTTGAGCATTATCATCCGAAACAGATTTTTCAGAGGCATCTTGCAACCTTGCCACGGAGTCTGCATATGGCTCTTTGCAGCCTTGTCTAATTGAATTAGAAGAAGGGCAAGCGGTGCCTGGGCAAGTGATGCCTGGGCAAGTGGTGTGTGGGGCACCCAGGTGCCTGGGTCCTGAATTTTTTCCCAGTCCCTGAGGCAAAGAGCCCTTAGATGTTCAATACCCTCATTCTGCATTACTGACTGTTGGCCAATTGTACTCCAATTTGGACCTGTTCCTAGCAATCGATCTGCATCTATATTAACAGCGGGATAAATAGCCTGACTTTTCGTGCCTGTTCTTGTACTCCATCAATCCACCAGGTTTTAAATTGTAGGAACTGAGAGGGTGGAAGGGAAGATTTAGCCAACATTTCCCAATCATAGGGAATAAGTCTATTTCCATGAGCAATGGGATCTAATAAAGTTCTCATATAAGGGGAGTTGGGTCCATATTGTTTAACTCCTTCCTTCATATCTTTTAACATTTTCATGGTGAAAGATTCATATCTAGCCTCAGTTTGGACAGACGCTCCAGCTTGCCCCCCTTTCCCAGCTGGTATTGGTTGTAAAATTACAAGGAACTGCCATGCCTCAAGATCTCCCTGTTTTCTGGCTTTATCAATGATTTCATGCAGTGTACTACCTTGTCCACTAGGTGGTGATGTAGGACTAAACACCGCTGGGTTGCTGGTGAGGTGCCGTGCTATGTGGCACGGGACACACAGCTTGAGGTCTGTATTGAACCTCCGGAGACGGCCCATACTGAAGCTCAGCTGGCGGCCAGTATTGATAAACTACCGGTGGTTGGGTCTTATTTTCTACCAGCTGATATTGTGGATACTGTATCTGAATTGGCATGGCCGGGATAGAGACTCTATCCTTTTCTACATGATATTCTCTTGGGGTTTGCACTTGTCTAACCTGCATTTGAGGTTGTAATGTTACAGGCATCTGAACCACTGGAGGAGGAGTTGATGGCCATTGTGGTTTAGGCTCTGGTAGCCCCAATAATTCTGGACCTCCTTCCACCAGTTTTGATGATTCAGGATATATTACCTCCTGTAACTGATTGTAGTCAACATTTTGCGTTGACTGAGCCATTACAGACTCTGTTACATTTTACAATGTGAACTTTCCATTAATTTCCGGGATTTTGTCTCTGCCTCTTCTTCACAATCTACTACACAGCTTTCAGGGGCATCAGAAATTGAAAGGCTATCTTTTTCTATTTGAAACGGTTCTAAAGTTGTTTTAATAATGGGCCAATCATTCCATACTGTAAGTGGGATGATTTTATCTTCCCTACTTGCTTGTTTTAATTCTTTGCCAATTTTCCCCCAATCTTTTAGATCTAAAGTCCTTGTTTTGGAAACCATGGGCAGAATTGTTCTATTGTTTGAAATAGCATAATTAGATTTTCTGTAGAAGCTCTAACTCCCCATCTTCTTAGAAGAATTTTAATGAAGCTGAGATAAGAGGCATATTTACTTTCAGTTTGTCCCATTGTTACCCTGGGTTCCTCTGAGCACACAAGCTTACCGCATGGCTGACCGTGGAAGTACTTGGGAATCTCTCGTTGACTGTCTTCAATGCTCACGTTTTTAGCGTACCTTCACCCTAGAGAAAGGCCCACGTTGGGCGCCAGGTGAAGGGGGTCAGCCACTCCACACCTGTGGGTATTTCTCATCAGGCAGGACAAGAGACTGAGAAAAGAAATAAGACACAGAGACAAAGTATAGAGAAAGAAAAATGGGCCCAGGGGACTGCTGCTCAGCATACGGAGGACCCACACCGGCACTGGTCTCTGAGTTCCCTCAGTATTTATTGATTACTATTTTCACTAACTCAGTAAGGGAAAAGTGGCAGGAGAGCAGGGTGATAGTGGGGAGAAAGTCAGCAAGAAAACATGTGAGCAGAGGAATCTGTGTCACAAATAAGTTCAAGGGATGGTACTATGCCTGGATGTGCACATAGGCCAGATTTATGCTTTTCTCCACCCAAACATCTCAATGGAGTAAAGAGTAACAAAGCAGCATTGCTGCCAACATGTCTCGCCTCCCACCACAGGCAGTTTTTCTCCTATCTCAGAATAGAACAAATGTATAATCAGGTTTTATACTGAGGCATTCAGTTCCCAGGGGCAGGCAGGAGACAGAAGCCTTCCTCTTATCTCAACTGCAAGAGGCCTTCCTCTTTTACTAATCCTCCTCAGCACAGACCCTTAATGGATGTCAAGCTGGGTGGAAGGTCAGGTCTTTCCCATCCAATGAGGTCATATTTCAGACTATCACATGGGGAGAAACCTTGGACAATACCTGGCTTTCCAGGGCAGGGGTCCCTGAGGTTTTTCACAGTGTATTGCACCCCTGGTTACTTGAGAATGGAGAATGGTGATGACTTTTATCAAGCATACTGCCTGTAAACCTTTTGCTAGCAAAGCACATCCTGCACAGCCCTGGATCCCTTAAACCTTGATTCTATACAACACATGCTGCTGTGAGCTCAAAGTTGGGGCTAAAGTTACAGATTAACAGCATCTCAGGGCAAAGTCAGGGTACAGATCAAAATGAAGTTTCTTATGTCTTCCTTTTCTACATAGACACAGTAACCGTCTGATCTCTCTTTCTTTTCCCTGCATACGCTAGTCTTCTTCTTTAGTCTGCTAGGTATGGGAAGGGTGTTAAGAAAGGATCTCTCATCAATATGACCTGGCCCCCAAAAAGCATGCTTGATTTTTGAATGTGGTAAAGAAATATTTAAACCATGTTTTATGTCTATATGATTATTAGTATTTATATGTTATTTTCTTTTGTTTTGTTTTGTTTTTGAGATGGAGTCTCACTCTGTCATGAGGCTGAAGTGTGGTGGCACAATCTCAGCTCACAGCAACCTACGCCTCCTGGGTTCAAGCAATTCTCCTGCCTCAGCCTCTCTAGTAGCTGGGAGTACAGGCATGTGACAACATGTCCAGCTAATTTTTGTAGTTTTAGTAGAGACGGGGTTTCACCATGTTGGCTAGGATGGTCTCGATCTCTTGATCTTGTGATTCTCCTGCCTCAGCCTCCCAAAGTGCTACTATTATAGGTATGAGCCAACAAACCCAGCCATATTTATATATTGTAGGCAGTATTTTGCTAAAAGGGAATTTTGATATCTTTATAAGACACAACTAGTTTAATTAAGGAAGGAGCACTGCCCACCATGACGACAGGTATGGGTTGGTGATGCCCTGAAGCTCCAGGTAATCAATGATGTGAATGTCCCCTTCCAAAGCAGGGGCCATGCCTTGTGCAGTGAATCTCTGTCCCAGCACAGCTAATGGTCAGAAATGGATTCTTCTCAATCTGCCCATTAGGACTGAACAGGGTCTCAGCATCTGGTTAGCAGGGAGGGACCTGAGAAGGGGCTTTACTTGAGTGACTCACACTCTTTGCCCACATAGAATGTTCCTGGCCCTGTGTGTGCATCTTGTGGGTATTCACCCACTGATCAGCCACAGAACAAAGTCAGGAGGTAACAGATTTGTAAAGAGAAGTAAAGAACAGGAGGGAATTGATAAAAATGAGGAAATTTCATTTGGATGCCTGACTTCCTGGGGCAGGACCTCATTAAAAACACAGCTCGGTGCTTCTGATTTTCTCTTTTTCTTGTCTCTTTTTCCTGAGACGGAGTCTTGCTCTATTTCCCAGGCTGCAGTGTAGTGGCTCTATCTCAGCTCACTTAAACCTCTGCCTCCTGGCTTCAAGTGATTCTCCTACCTCAGCCTCCCAAATAGCTCGGACTACAAGTGCCTGCCACCATGCTCAGCTAATTTTTTTTTTGGCCCCGAGTCTCGCCCTGTCGTCCAGGTTGGAGTGAAGTGGCACGATTTGGAGATCTCAAGTACATGGACCGGGGAGGCTGCAGGAATTTGTTTATCTTGGGCTGGGGGTGCATGGGAAGTAGGTAGGGCTCCTGTGACCACAAACCCAAGGCCTCTGGGATCAGAAGGCAACAACAAGGGCCAGGACCTACCCCGGGGCCTGTGCTTGCAGGGACCCTGGCTCTCATTTGTATGTGGGGTGCCTGAGTGATTTCAGATTCCTCACCCATCCCCATTGGCTCTTCTAGGGGAGATGCAACCATAACACCTGTAGGTGACCCTGTGTAGGAAAAGACTGCAGAACCCACACGGGCCCATGCTGAGTGAGGCTTTCTCCAGGTGGGCACAAAAACCCCTAGCTCCCCAGCCACTGCCAGAGCTTGGGGTTGGGGGCCTTACATGGAGGCAAATGCAGGGAGCATTGGCAGAGGCAGGGCTGAGTGAAAGGAGAAGAAGAGCACATGGAAAAGACACAGGGGTCTCTGACAGTTCCAGGGCCAGAGGCACTTGGGAGTGGGAGAGGCATGACTGGGAGATAGGTCCAGGGCTTTTTCTGAGCCCTGAGGCCCCAGCAGGTTTACTTCCCTTCGAAGATCTCTCTGGGCTATTGTGCCTGGGAGTCAGGGCTGGCTCTGCTGCAGCCCTGTGGGAAGGGCATAGATCCCTCAGGGTCTAAGGTTCAACTTTACTCTTATCCTCAAATGAGGGCTTTTACCCAGGGACCTCTTGTCCGCAGATTCCACGTCTTCTTGCTGGACTCCCAGAGGAAGTTGTCCTACCAGGGACATGGGATGTTATACTTTTCTCTTCCATGGAACCAGCTCTGTCAGGTAGAGTTGTGCCTTTCTAGGTGGCCACACACACACACACATACTTACCATGTGGACATTGCAGTGATGCCCACTGGGCTTCGGGTTCTTCCATAGCACCCAGCTGAAAAAAGCCTCACCTAAGGCTAAGAAGAGACCTGGCTTGGACAAAAAAATACTTAGTGCATTCCAGGTGCATCCTTATCAGCTGTAAGGCTGGGCCAGGGGAACCTGGGAAGGGATGGCCCCTGCGCTGGGACCTGTCCAAGGCTCTGTCATCATCCTGACAGCCTTGGAAGACCAGAAGGGTCAGGTCTTCCTCTGCAAGCCAGGCAGTGTCACCACCCAGAAGTCCAGGGTGCCTCTTTAGGTCCAGAGCAGCAGCTGTGGAGTTTCCTGCTTTGTGCCTTGCCATGTTCACCAACATCACTCAATATAAACTGGGGAAAATTTCTTAATTACTGCTGGGTCTCTCTGCATTGTGGCCATGTTCTGAAGTCCAGGAGAGATGGGCTGATGGCCTTGGGATGCATAAAGTGACGCCGGCCCCATCAGCTCAGGCTGAGGGAGAAAACAGAGGCTCAGGAATATTCTAGAGAGCCTAAGCAAGGGCCTCATAGGAGCTTTGGAATCCCAGTGTGGATTCTGGGATTGGAGAATAGGTCAGGTCGTTTCCTGAGATGGGTTTCGAAGGTTGCTCTGAGCTTGGCAGCAGATGAGCACCTCGAGAAGAACTGGTGACAGAACATGGTAGAAAAGACCCCAAGTGCAGGATTCTCACTGGGGTCCTGGGGGTGCTACTGCACCCCTTGAAATGGGCAGGAAGAGGGAGTCAGTTAGCCAGTTCTTTCCAATATTTAGCTTATTGAACACCTTGGGGGTTCCACTGAGCCCCTCACCTGAGGGGTTTGCCAATCATTTGCTGCCAGAACATGGGAAGATTTTTCTCTGGCCAAATCTCAGGTTTATCAGGTTAGAAATGGGGAAAATAGCAACGTGCCTTAGATTCTCCATGAAGAAGAGCTGAGGTCCGGGATGATCAGTACCAGCCGTCTGTTGTGCCTCGTGGATGCTCAGTGAACACAGATTCTCACAACCATTATTGGTGTTGAGCTCACCCTCAGCCTCAGGTTTACAAAGTGGGGCGTGGGAAGTAGAAGCCTCACTGGGCTCAGGTGATCCTCCCACCTCAACTTCTTGGGCAGCTTGGCCTACAGGTGCACACTGCCTCCCCCCAGCTAATATCTTGTATTTGTATTAGAGACAGGGTTTCATCACATTGCCCATATTCCTCACAAACTCCTGAGCTCTAGCACTCTGCCTTTCTTGGCTTCCCAAAGGGCTGGGATTAGAGGCCTGAGGTCTTTCTTTCTTTTCCTTCCTTCCTTACTTTCTTTCTTTCTTTTTTCTTTCTTTCTTTCTTTCTTTCTTTCTTTCTTTCTTTCTTTCTTTCTTTCTTTCTTTCTTTCTTTCTCTTTCTTTCTTCTTTCTTTCCTTCCTTCCTTCCTTCCTTCCTTCCTTCCTTCCTTCTTTCTTCTTTCTTTCTTTCTTTCTTTCTTTCTTTCTTTCTTTCTTTCTTTCTTGCTTGCTTGCTTGCTTGCTTGCTTGCTTGCTTGCTTTTTCTTTTGTTCTTTTTTGACAGTGTCATGCCGTCACCCAGGATGGAGGGCAGTGGCGCCATCTCAGCTCACTGCAACTTCACATCCTGGGTTTAAGCGATTCTCCTGCCTCAGCCTTCTGAGTAGCTGGGAGTGCAGACATCTGCCACTATGCTCGGCTAATTTTTTGTATTTTTAGTAGAGACGGAGTTTCACCGTGTTAGCTAGAATGGTCTTGATATACTGACCTCATGATCAGCCCACCTTGGCCTCTCAAAGGGCTGATGTTACAGGCATGAGCCACTGTGCCTGGGTCTGAGCTTTCTTTGTAGGCCTAATGTTGATGCTCTGATAAGAATCTCTATGTTCAATATTAGCGACAGGAAAGGACTCTAAGAAGGAGGAAACATGAATTATCAAATTAGAGTAGGAAGGGAGTGGGTGAGATTAAGATTTGGATGAAGGGTCCTGGAAAATGACTGGGGCCAATGGTTGCTGGGAAATGTTCCACTGTGGGAAGATCCCAGAGTCTACAGGAAAGGTCTCCAGATGATAGAACAATGATGGACATATGGACCCTCGTTCATTTCTCTCTCACATCCTGTAGAGCCCACAGTTTCTACCTGGGTGGCTTCCAGCTTGGGAGAGCCTCCCTTCCCAGGTCTGGCCCCAATCTTCTCTCTGGCCTCTGCTCCAGTTCACATTCTTAGATTCCATCTTTGCAAGCTGGTTTTCTGAGAGGAGCCCATCAGTTTTGTGAGTAAACACCCTTTACCTTCTAGTAGGGCCAAGACTATACCTGCCCCCTGTGTTTTCAAAGTGAATGTTATGGTTTAAGTCTGCCCTATCTCTTTTGATGATTCTCCTTTTAATTTCTGAACTCAATCTAGGGTGGGTGAGATGGCTGATGCCTGTTATCCCAGCCTTTTGGGAGGCCAAGGTGAGGAGATCACTTGAGGTCAGGAGTTTGAGACCAGCCGGGCCAACATGGTGAAACCCCATCTCGACTAAAATACAAAAATTAGTAGGGCTTGTTGGAGTGCACCCGTAATTCCCAGCTACTTGGGAGGCAGAAATGAGAGAATCACTTGAACCAGAAGGTTGAGGCTGCAGTGAGCTGAAATCGTGCCACTGCACTCCAGCCTGAGTGACAGATGTAGGCCCAGTCTGAAAATCAAACAAACAATCAATAAATAAACTCAATCTTGACAAAAGACTTTGAGTCCTGACATCTAGATGCCCACAAGATAACCGCCATGTTTTACATTGTCTTGTTTCCTTTGCAGGTTCCCATTAGAACACCTAGTCTCATTCCGCTCAGTCCCCACCTCACTTGGTCACTTTGTCCTGATTTCCTTCGGTGAAGCCTTGACTTAGTCTTGAGATAGATCACACTCTCAGTGGTTCCTTTCTTCTACCTGAATGTGCATATGATCTGCTATGTTAGATAGCATAAAACACAGGTGACCATTCGATATACACAGCTTTTTATTCTGTTTTCTTGGGAATGACATCACTATCTTCTTCAGGCTATTGTAGCTCTGAAACATTTTGACAATTTTGATGTGGCCAAACATCCTCCAATAAGGACACCTTAAGGTTTTTTTTTTTTTGGCCTAATATCAGGAACAGATTAATCCCTTCCCTACATCACTACGAAAGTCGTGTATTAGCCAAACTTCATCAGTATTTGGGGAATAAATGAACGAATGAGTTTTAGACTTTCACCCTATTATTTATTCTTTTACTTCCATAAATGTGTATCTAATTCAATCGATTAGTCAGAAGAAAGCTGAAAACTCAATCAGGATTAACTGGGTGTGACTGCAAGATCTAATCAGGTATCAGTTTCTGATTGGAAGCTGGTGATTGAGAAGGGAAGGGTGGGGTTAGAAAGGTCTATAAAAGCTCCTGAGGGTACCCAGAAGAGACCCACAGCACTCATTCCTGGAGCTACTGCTTGGTTCCCTGAGAGGTCCCAGAACTCTGCAAAGTGAGTCCAGCGCTGGTAAGTCACCACCTGCTTAGGGTCATGCCCATCTGATCAGCAGCCAGCCAGTCAGGGACGGTGACACACATCCCAAAGTGGCACACAATATTTTTCTGTCTGTTTCGTGAGATGAACAGATTTAGGCTTTCATTTTTCCTCTAAATGTAGTTTTGTCTTCATCCATCAAATTGTGATTTGTGCTTGGTTTTTGTCATTTTAAAATTCTTATCGAAGCAGGTTTTTTAAAAATATATTAAAAATTTACAGTGACATGAATTTTTATTTCTTGACATTTGAAGTTATTTGTTTTTGTGCCTTTCAATTACAGTTCATAGACTTGGTGTTATTGTGATTCTCCAAGTATGCTTTCATTTTCATAAAATCCTTAAAGGTATCCCACACAGCAATCTCAAGAGTGCAGTTTTGCTCAGATCATGGGATTTATCTTTGCCCCTAGGATCCATCAAAAAGTGGGTAATTGTGAGTATGTGGAAGTGATGTCTATAGGAACCTTCATCTCAGAGTTACAGTGCTCTAGAATAGCATGGTAGCACTTTTACAGTTTTTGAGATGGAGTTTCCCTATTGTTGCCCAGGCTGGAGTGCCATGGTGTGGTTTGGTTCACTGAAATTTCTGCCTCCTAGTTACATGCGATTCTCCTGCTTCAGCCTCCTGAGTAGCTTGGATTACAGGCACTCACCACCATGCCCAGCTAATTTTTGTATTTTTAGTAGACACAGGGTTTTGCCATGTTGGCCATGCTGTCCTCAAACTCCTGACCTCAGGAGATCTGCCCCCCTCAGACTCCCAAAGTGCTGGGATTACAGGAGTGAGCCACCGCGCCCAGGTACAGTTAGCATTTCTATACATACCTTCCAAATGCTGTGGAATACCATCACACCACTTTTACAGTTCCAGTGAATTATTTTGTTTTTTTTCTGGGATGTACTCTGAGTGTGTCACCCAGACTGGAGTGCAGGGCCCTGAGCTGGGCTCCCTGGAAACTCTGCCTCTGGGCTTCAAGTGATTCTCCTTCCTCTGCCTCCAGAGTAGCTAGGATTACAGTCATGCATGACCACACCTGGCTAACATTTTAATTAATTAATTTATCAATTTGTTTTTGTTTGAGTCTGAGTCCAACTCTGTCACCCAGGCTGGAGAGCAGTGGTGAGATCTTGGCTCTCTGCAACCTCTGCCTTCTGGAGTCAAATGATTCTTAATTTTTTTGTATTTAGTAGAGACATCGTTTCATTATGTAGGCCAGGCTGTTCTCGAACTCCTGACCTCAAGTGAACTGCCTGCCTTGGTGTCCAGCAGTGTTGGGATTACAGACATGAGCCACAGCACCTGGTCCATTTCTGGTAGAAAATTTTCAAAATAAAAAATAATGGCATCGATTTTAGGGAGTCCCTTTAGTGTTCCCCCAGCATGTTTATGGTGTAAACTGAGAATGGAGGCTGTCTGGGGCCACAGGACACTCTCATTCTCATTGCTTTAGGTTGGTAAGTGACAAGAAATTTTTCCTCAAAGAGGTAGAGCTTGGCTTTCAGGATCCTCAGTGGCACTGTCCGGTGGTTCTGGGATTCAGTGGAGCAATGGATGAAAATTAATAAGCCAGTGGTCTCCTTGACCCCTCCCTCCTTGGTGTTTGGAAGACATTCTTCCTGGTACCAGTAGAAGCAGATGATTGTGTTTGCCATGAGAGTGATACATTTTCCCTGGATTTGTCTTCTAGAGATTTTCCTTGCAGATCTATCAGGATGAGCATCCAGGCCCCACCCAGACTCCTGGAGCTGGCGGGGCAGAGCCTGCTGAGAGACCAGGCCTTGTCCATCTCTGCCATGGAGGAGCTGCCCAGGGTGCTCTATCTCCCACTCTTCATGGAGGCCTTCCGCAGGAGACACTTCCAGACTCTGACGGTGATGGTGCAGGCCTGGCCCTTCACCTGCCTCCCTCTGGGATCACTGATGAAGACGCTTCATTTGGAGACCTTAAAAGCATTGCTGGAAGGGCTTCATATGCTGCTTACACAGAAGGATCGCCCCAGGTGAGGTGACCCAGGAGGGCTGGTAGATAGGGCTCAGGTGTCCAGGGAAAGAACAGCAGGGTCAGGCAGAGAAGTAGCCCAAGTGTAGCCCAGAGTCTTCTGATGGTGTTGGCGAGGAAGATCAGGGAGGCTTTGGCCATTGTCCAGATCCTCAGAGAAAGGACTGCTCACCATACAGGGTCCACTGTGGGAACAGAAACCTGCCTTTTCTCAGTGGAAGGTAAAGGGAATAGAAGTGGGGACCACTCAGAATCCAAAGGGAAAAGGGATCAAGAAAAGACAAAGAGAACAGGGAGCACTGAGGACAGGAGCAGCTGATTTATGGGATGACAATGAAAGCAAAGGTCAGGGATTTGTCCTTCTAAATTCTGAGCCTCTCCCTTACTTTACCCACAGGAGGCGGAAACTTCAAGTGCTGGATTTGCGGGATGTTGACGAGAATTTCTGGGCCAGATGGCCTGGAGCCTGGGCCCTGTCCTGCTTCCCAGAGACCATGAGTAAGAGGCAGACAGCAGAGGACCGTCCAAGGATGGGAGAGCACCAGCCCTTAAAGGTGTTCATAGACATCTGCCTCAAGGAAATACCCCAGGATGAATGCCTGAGATACCTCTTCCAGTGGGTTTACCAAAGGAGAGGTTTAGTACACCTGTGCTGTAGTAAGCTGGTCAATTATCTAACGCCGATTAAACATCTCAGAAAGTCATTGAAAATAATATACCTGAATAGTATTCAAGAGCTGGAAATTCACAACATGTCCTGGCCACGTCTGATAAGAAAGCTTCGTTGTTACCTGAAGGAGATGAAGACTCTTGGCAAACTCGTTTTCTCCAGGTGCCATCATTCCACGTCAGATAATGAACTCGAAGGACGGTTAGTCACCAAATTCAGCTCTGTGTTCCTCGGGCTGGAACACCTCCAGTTGCTTAAAATAAAATTGATCACCTTCTTCAGTGGGCACCTGGAACAGCTGATCAGGTGAGGAAGGATCATGCATTTTTTATGCAGACCACAGCATAGCCTTGTTCTCTTACAGCAAACATTAGAAGGCGTGTACTGTGTGCCAGCCAGTGGCAACGTCACAGTGAAGGGGACACCAGAATGTCAACACATTGTCCCATTCAGTGTTCCATGTCCTGGAGTGGCTATCACAGGATCGCTCCAATAAGGGCAGAGGGGTCACCTGGGGTAGAAGCTAGAGAGGGACATCATGTACAAGCTAGTTAGTGGGGGTTTCAGCTCTATTGGGGGTGCACGTGTGAATTTCCTGTTACAAAGTGTGTTTCAAGTTGATATGATGTCAAAGAGATAATAGAGGAGGGTATGAAAGGAGGGAAAGTGCATCAAACCTGTCCATTTCACAATAGAACGTCTGTCCTCACCGGCTTAGTGATCACGAATGATCCTGTCTCTGATTCCCTGTTTGTAAAAGGTTGTTTTGAACTCCAGGAAAGGTAACTGACATGGGAAATGCGTGCTTCTGGGATGGAGGTGAGGTAGTAGGCGTGAGAGTGGTAAAAAGTGACAGTTGGTTTGCAGATGCAGGCATGTCAGGTAGCCCCTGCCGACATGTAGCCCTAGCTGATGTCCCTAGACCTTGCTGAGTTGAGTTCTTTGTTCACATCTCCCACCGGGTACCTGTGGCCCAGAGATAAAGTTTTCTGCTAAAAGATGAAAAAAAAAAAAGGCTTTAGAGATTTTATGGCCTTGACCCAATCACACAAGCAATGGTGAAAGGGCTGATTCTAAAATGGGACAGCCCCTGAACGATCAGGGTCCTCATCATGCAGCAACTTCCATGAGGACCATCATCAGATGGTGGGAACAAACTTGTGTTTGTTTGACGCAGGCATTTTCCTAGATGAAGGCACTACCTTCATCTAACTGGTACCATTGCCCAGAACTAACTTCTTGATCTCCACAGGTGCCTCCAGAACCCCTTGGAGAACTTGGAATTAACTTATGGCTACCTATTGGAAGAGGATGTGAAGTGTCTCTCCCAGTACCCAAGCCTCGGTTACCTAAAGCATCTGAATCTCAGCTACGTGCTGCTGTTCCGCATCAGTCTTGAACCCCTCGGAGCTCTGCTAGAGAAAATTGCTGCCTCTCTCGAAACCCTCATCTTGGAGGGCTGTCAGATCCACTACTCCCAACTCAGTGCCATCCTGCCTGGCCTGAGCCGCTGCTCCCAGCTCACCACCTTCTACTTTGGCAGAAATTGTATGTCTATGGGTGCCCTGAAGGACCTGCTGCGCCACACCAGTGGGCTGAGCAAGTTAAGCCTGGAGACGTATCCTGCCCCTGAGGAGAGTTTGAATTCCTTGGTTCGTGTCAATTGGGAGATCTTCACCCCACTTCGGGCTGAGCTGATGTGTACACTGAGGGAAGTCAGGCAGCCCAAGAGGATCTTCATTGGTCCCACCCCCTGCCCTTCCTGTGGCTCATCACTGTCTGAGGAACTGGAGCTCCATCTTTGCTGCTAGGGAAGGCATGCCCAGTGGGGTAGAGAAATCCAAAGTTCTCTTCCAGGCACTTGGACACTAAAATCTACTATGTAGGTGCAAGCTATTTTTCTCTTTTCTTATTTATTTCATTTTTTAATAATTCCAAAATTTTTATTAAAGACAATTTGAGACAGGGTTTCTCTGTGTTGCTCTGGGATCCTCCTGCCTCAGCTGGGCTTATGGGGTCCTCCTGCCTCAGCTTCCTAAAGTGCTGGGATTACTGGCATGAGTGACTGTGTCCAGGCCACATGCAACTTAAAGGAAGCACAGGGAAGTGCTCAGTGTGAGGGAGAAAACATAACAGCAGGGGGCAAGGCTGGAGGAAAATGTTGAGGTGACATCAATGAGAACTTCAGGGACCCGTGTCCTACAGAGTCAGAAAGAGAAGCTAAAGTTCTACAGTGATGAGAATGTTATCCCTGCAAGGATGGTTACCAAGGAATATCAGAAATAAAGAGCACCTGAATGAAAACTTTTAACCTGTTGTAGCAATTTATCCACCAGAAATATCTAGTTATTGAGTTACTGATGGAAAAATAATGAAATACTACTTTGTCTGTGATTGAGTTTCAGCTGTAGAACATCAAAGCAACCAAATAAAATTTGATCATTTTAAGTATTTCCCACCCATTCTTGTTCTTTGTTTTGTTTTGGAGACAAAATCTCAGTTTGTCATTTAGGCTGGAGTGCAGTGGTGCAATCTGGGCTCATTGCAATCCTTTCCTTCAGGGCTCAAGTGATTCTTGTGCCTCAACCACTCAAATAGCTGGGACTGCAGGCACGTTCCACCAAGACTGGCTGATTTTTGTATTTTTAATAGAGATGAGGTTTTTCCGTGTTGATCAGCCTGGTCTCAAGATCCTGGCTTCAAGTGATCCACTGACCTTGGCCTCCCAAAGCGCTGGGAAAACAGGCATACAGATGATCTCCACCCATTCTTTACTTCTCTTCAGTCATCAGTTTTTTTCTTACTTTTTTGCCCACGGGGAGCAGCTCGGTCAGGCGCGAAGGGACGGGCAGAGAGGGGCCCCAAGGAGAAGACAGGAATGGGGTGGTGCCACGCTCGCACAAGATGTGCGGATGCCAGGCCCAGAAGGCATAGCTGGGGCCATCCATCAGGGGGCCAGGGTGAGAAGCAGAAATGGCACCTGCTTCAAGGACCTGGCCAGCTATCTGGCCACTGTGCCCATCCTGCTAACAGTGTCAAGCTCCCAGGTCTTGAAGGGAGGTTCTATGCGGATCCACCCCAGGCTGTGTTTCCGAGATCCGCCCCCCATAGGGGTGACCAGCCCGATTGCTGGGCCTGGGAACCATGAACCACTCCTGGAGGCACTCCCCTTGACTGGGTCATGAGCCAGGCCTGTGCTCCATTTCCCTGAGGCAGCCAACTGTGCCACCCACACCCTCTCATCGCAAAATGGAACCTTGTCCCAGGTCTGGAGTCTCCACCACAGCCTCTACTTCACTGCTCACTGCCTGCTGTTAGCCTGCAAGCTCCTGGATGATAGTGCAGTTGGGGCTGGTTAAACCACACCCAGGAGCATTGGGTTTGTTTGTGCGGGGTTGGTCAGAGCTGCTGTGTATCTGCTTCTCAACTGTCACTTCTGCAGGGAAACACAGAGAAAGGGCACATCCAAGGCTGCGTACACTTCAGAGCTGATGGGAGCCTGGGACAAGAGGGAGTCCTGGTCCTCCTGAGTTGGCAGGGCAGTAGCTCCAAAGACGCAACTGAAGTTGTCCAGGTCACAGTTACCAAATGAGGTCCCCCAGTACTCTCGAGGGTCCAGGAGATCCCCCCTTCTCCTGCAGCTTGGGGGTGTCCGCTCTCACTGCCTCATCTCTCATGGCACCTGCTCTAATTTTGGAGTGTGGTTGTGGTCAAGCCCAGATGCTGTCGCAGCCCAGGTGGGTCTGTGCACACTCGGGTCAGTGCTGATGCACCATCCCACTGCTGTCTTGAACCCTCTGGACTTTGGGCCTTGATGAGTGTAGGAGGGAGGCTGAGGGGTGTTGCGGACTGATCAGCACTGGTCTTTGGATGCTCCTTGGTACAAGTGACCTGGGCTCCATGGTTGGTGGTGGGAGGCAGACAGAATCCTGGACAGGAAGGTGAGGGTCACTGGTGAAGCTCCACCTTCTGATCAAGGAGGGCCTGAAGCCCGTGGGCTGGGCCACCAGTCCTATGGACCAGAGTGGGAACATGTGTTGCCTTTTCTGTGCCTGCTCATGGCCACCTATGACCCAATGAGTGCATACTTTCTCCTGTCTGATGTCAAAAAAACCCCAGACTCAGGGAGAACATTAGGAAGACCAGTGGCAGAGAGGAACTACCCACTGTGGGGATGATTTTCCTGTAGAGACAAGCAACCCCCTCCGGGTCCTTTTCTCTGCTGAGAGCTGTAGAGATGATGAGATGACTTTCCTGCAGAGAGCAGCAACCCACTCCAGGGCCTTCTCTCTACTGAGAGCAGTGGTGATGATGGAATAACCTGCCAGGAGGGAGGGGTCACCCACCCCAGGGCCTCCTCTCTGCTCAGTACTAAACACTCATCAGGACGCCCTGGCTGCAGAAAGAAGTTACCCACTGTGGGTCTCTGAGCTGTTCTATTGTTCAATAAAGCTCCTCTTTATCTCACTCACCCTCCACTTGTCTGCATATTTCACTCTTCCTGGTCACAGGACAAAAACTTGAGACCCGCCTAATGGTGGGGTAAAAGAGCAATAACACAAATAAAGCTGAAACATGCCCCTTGCTCACCAAATTGTAGGTGAAGAGAAAAAGAGAAGAGCGACTACTCTTCCAGGAGCCCAGATGTGGGAGCTTCCTGAGCCAGGGCTGTGACTCCCTTTTGGGGGTTCTGCAGTTCCTGGCATTTCCAAGCTTTCAGTGTTGGTGTCACTGTGTATTCCAGTGACAACCATGGAAGCTGTTTGTGCTGTGCCTGATTCATTTGCAGCCTTGCAGAAATCTGGCACACATGCTGACACCTGGAGCTGCCCAACCCACTGCTGCAGCAGCAGCAGCCGGTGACCGTCCAAAGTGGCCAGACCCCCTGCTCACTCACACACCCCTCACCACTCCAGCCCTGACCCACCCTTAATAGGCATGTGCTCCAGGCTTGAAACATGAGCCAAGCATAGTCTACCAGGCTGCATGGGCAGAACGAACCCAGTGAACCCCATCAAAACTCTGGCAAAGGTGCCCCCAGCCACAGAGGTTTCTGGCCAGAAGAGTCACATTCTAAGTATTCCAGAAGAGAAAATTACTTAAACACAAAGAAAGACAATAAGAAAAGGATGGAAGAGAGAAGTCTCTAAACAACCAAAAAACAAGAAATGAAATGGGAGCACTAAGCCTTTATCAATAAAAACAATGAATATAATTTATCTGAATTCTGCAAGTGAAAGGCATAGGGTCTTTGAATGAGTAAAAACATAAAACCCTACTATATGCTGTTTTCCAGAAACTTAATTCACCTATAAACATACATGTAGATGGAAAGTGAAGGGGTAGAATAAGATATTCCATGCAACTGGAAACCAAAAACAGCAAGAGTAGCTGTACTTATATCAGGTAAAATAGATGCCAAATCTCACAATGCACTCAGATAAAACAGAATACAAATCTGAGCTTGTAAAATAATAGACTACGCTTACACAAACTATGCCTAGAAAGAACATACATCAAAATAATAGAAGCCAAAAATGACAAATCCACATGCAACATCATATTGAATGAAGAAACGTTGAAAGTATTCCTGCTAGGAACTACAAGCAGACAAAAATCCTCACTTTATCCACTTGTAATCAACATAGGACTGAAAATTTTTGTCAGAGCAATCTGGTAAGCAAAAGGAATAAAGTATAATTAAATTGGAAAGAAGGAAGTGAAACTACCTGTGTTTGCCAATGATGTGATCATATGTGCTTAGAAAACTGGAAAGATTCCACCAAGACTCATAGATGCGATAAGTGAATTCACTTAAATCTCAGGTACAAAATCAATATGTACAAATAAGTACCACTGTTTGATACCAACAACAAGTAAGCTGAGAATCAATTCAAGAACTCCATCCCTTCACAATAGTTGCAAAACAACAACAAAAACAGTGACAATAACAAAAACAACCTAGGAATACACTTAACCATTAGGTAAAGGATCTCTATCAGATGAACTACAAGACACTGCTGAAAAAAATCATAGACAACAAAAAAGTAGAAAAACAGCCCATGCTCACGGATTGACAGACACAATATTGTGAAAATGACCACACTGCCCAAAGCAATCTAAAAACTGCAAACATCAAACATCAATCTAAAAACGTCAGTCTAAAAATTTCATACACCAAAATACAAACACCATTTTCACAAGATTAAAAAAAGAATCCTAAGATTCATATGGAGATGAAGAAGAGCCTGAAGAGCCAAAGCAATCCGAAGCAAAATGAACAAATATGGAGACATCACATTACCTGACTTCAATTTATACAGTAAGGCAACAGTAAGCAAAACTGCGTGGTGCCAGTATGAAGGTCGAGACATAGACCAATGGAATGGAATAGAGAACCCCGGAATAAAGCCGCATACTTACAACCCAGCGGTAGGACTGCTGCTTCTCAGTTTGTGCTGAGTGATGCCCCTTGGGGATATGGGGCCAAAGTTACTGGATTTTTCCCCCAAGAAAACCAGAGAGTGAATTGTGATATCCTGTGTGATTTTTAGACTGACTATTGCCATAGTGCTTAGGTCGTCTCCAGGTGCCCAGAGACTCAATCACCAACCAGTGTCCACATTCTTGTCACCGCTGCAAGAAAGAGTTTAGGAAGTAGGCAGAATGAAGCAAAAGGCAAGAAGTGTCTATTGCAAAGCAAAGGAACACACTCAAGAGAGGGCTTATTCAGGAGAGCGAGTCAGGTACAAGAGAGTTTGGGTTTCTAATTTTATAGGATCTGTAAGGAGAGGTTGAAATAATCATTAGGATTTTAAGAAAAAATGGTGAAGTTTTCTTAGAACTGAGGTGTCACCTATTTATTTATTTATTTATTTATTTATTTATTTATTTATTTATGTTTTGAGATGGAGTTTCGCTCTTGTTGCCCAGGCTGGAGTGCAATGGCGCGATCTTGGCTCACTGCAATCTCCGCCTCCCGTGTTCAAGCAATACTCCTGCCTCAGCCTCTGGAGTAGCTGGGGTTACAGACATGCACCACCACACTCGGCTAATTTTGTATTTTTAGTAGAGACGAGATTTCTCCATGTTGGTCAGGGTGGTCTCAAACTCCCGACACCAGGTGATTCGCCTGCCTCAGGTTCCCAAAATGTTGGGATTACAGGCATGAGCCACTGCACGTGGCTAGGTGTTAACTATTTTTATACTAAATATGGGCATTCTCAGAACCGTCCTGGCGCTGGTGTGTGACTTACTGTCATAATAGGTGTATAATTAGGCCTGGGGTAGGGCAAGGGTCAAACCCAGTGCCATGTCTGACCAATTCAGTGTCAGCCAGCTTAGCCCCTTCCTGCTTGTTCGGATCTTATGGGTCAAGGCTTATCCTTATTCTTGCAGCTAATTTTACAAGCTCTTTTCTTGCTGCTATATGAAATCACTGCTTGATATTTTCATGCTTCTCCTGTGACCAGCCAGCTTTCCTATTTTATGGGTATTTCTTTTCTTCTCCCTTCCCTTCCCTTCCCTTCCCTTCACCTCCTCTCCCATCCCCTCCCCTCCACTGTCTTTTCTTTTCCTTTCTTTCTTTCTTTCTTTTTTTCTTTCTTTCTTTCTTTCTTTCTTTCTTTCTTTCTTTCTTTCTTTCTTTCTTTCTTTCTTTCTTTCTCTCTCTCTCTCTCTCTCCTTCCTTCCTTCCTTCCTTCCTTCCTTCCTTCCTTCCTTCCATCTTTCTTGCTTCATCTCTTTCTTTCTTTCTTTCTTTCTTTCCCTTTCTTTCTTTCTTTCTTTCTTTCTTTCTTTCTTTCTTTCTTTCTTTCTTTCTTTCTTTCCACTTTAAGTTCTGGGATACATGTGCAGAACGTGCAGTTTTGTTACATACGTATACACATGCCATGGTGGTTTGCTGTACCCATCAACCCGTCATCTACATTAGGTATTTCTCCTAATGCTACCCCTCTCCTAGCCCTCCACACCCCGAGAGGCCCTGATGTGTAGTGTTCCCCTACCTGTGACCATGAGTTCTCATTGTTCAACTCCCACTTATGTGGTGTTTTGGTTTACTGTTCCTGTGTTAGTTTGCTGAGAATGATGGTTTCTAGCTTCATCCATGTCCCTGCAAAGGAAATGAACTTATTTTTTATGACTGCATAGTATTCCATGATGTATATGTGCCACATTTGCTTTATCCAGTCTATCATTGATGGGCATTTGGGTTGGTTCCAAGTCTTTGCTGTTGTGAATAGTGCTGCAATAAACATACTTGTGCATGTGTCTTTATAGTAGAAGGATTTATAATCCTTTGGATATATACCCAGTAATGAGATTGCTGGATCAAATGGTATTTCTGGTTCTAGATCCTTGAGGAATTGCCACACTGTCTTCCACAATGGTTGAACTAATTTACACTCCCACCAACAGTGTCAAAGCATTCCTATTTCTCCACATCCTTTCCAGCATCTGTTGTTTCCTGACTTTTTAATGATCACCATTCTAACTGGCATGAGATGGTATCTCACTGTGGTTTTGATTTGCATTAGAGAAATGCAAATCAAATGACCAGTGGTGATGAACATTTTTTCATATGTTTGTTGGCTGGATAAATGGTTTTTTTGGAGAGTTGTCTGTTAGTATCCTTCACCCACTTTTTGACAGGGTTGTTTGTTTTTTTCTTGTAAATTTGCTTAAGTTCCTTGTAGATTCTGGATATTAGCCATTTGTCTGATGGATAGATTGCAAAAAATTTTCCCATTCTATAGGTTGCCTGTTGACTCTGATGATAGTTTCTTTTGCTGTGCAAAAGCTCTTTATTTTAATTAGATCCCATTTGTCAATTTTGGCTTTTGTTGCCATTGGTTTTAGTGTTTTAGCCATGAAGTCTTTGCCCATGCCTATGTCCTGAATGGTATCACCTAGGTTTTCTTCTAGGGTTTTTATGGCTTTAGGTCTTACATTTAAGTCTTTAATCCATCTTGAGTTAATTTTTGCATAAGGTGAAAGGAAGGGGTTCATTTGCAGTTTTCTGCATATGGCTAGCCAGTTTTCCCAACACCGTTTATTAAATGGGGAATCCTTTCCCCATTGGCTGTTTTTGTCAGGTTTGTCAAGGATCAGATGGTTGTAGATGTGTGGCATTATTTCTGAGTCCTCTGTTCTGTTTCATTGGTCTACATATCTGTTTTGATAACTGTACCATGTTGTTTTGGTTACTGTAGCCTTGTCGTATAGTTTGAAGTCAGGTAGCGTGATGCCTCCAGCTTTGTTCTTTTTGCTTAGGATTGTGTTGTGTATACAGGTTCTTTTTTGCTTCCATATGAAGTTTTAAGTAGTTTTTTCTAATTCTGTGAAGAAACTCCATTACAGCTTGATGGGGATAGCATTGAATCTATAAATCACTTTGGGCAGTATGGCCATTTTCATGATATTGATTCTTCAGACCCATGAGCGTGGAATGTTTTTCCATGTGTTAGTGTCCTCTCTTATTTCCTTAAGCAGTGGTTTGTAGTTCTCCTTGAAGAGGTCCTTCACATCCCTTGTAAGTTGTATTCCTATGTATTTTATTTTCTTTTAGCAATTGTGAATGGGAGTTCACTCATGATTGGCTCTCCGTTTGTCTATTGTTGATGTATAGGAATGATTTTGATTTTTGCACATTGATTTTGTATCCTGAGACTTTGTTGAAGTTGCTTATCAGCTTTAGGAGATGTTGGGCTGAGATGATGGGGTTTTCTAAATATACAATCATGTCATCTGCAAACAGAGACAATTTGACTTCCTCTCTTCCTATTTGAATACTCTTTATTTCTTTCTCTTGCCTGATTGCCCTGGCCAGAACTTCCAATACTATGTTGAATAGGAGTGGTGAGAGGGGGCATCCATGCATTGTGCTGGTTTTCAGAGGGAATGCTTCTAGCTTTTGCCCATTCAGTATGATATTGGCTGTGGTTTTGTCATAAATGGCTCTTATTATTTTTACATACGTTCCATCAATACCTAGTTTATCTAGAGTTTTTAGCCTGAAAGGGTGTTGAATTTTATCGAAGGCCATTTCTGCACATATTGAAACAATCATGTGGTTTTTGTCATTGGTTCTGTTTATGTGATGGATTATGTTTATTGATTTGCGTAAGTGGAACCAGCCTTGCGGATCAGGGATGAAGCCGACTTGATATTGGTGGATAAGCTTTTTGATGTGCTGCTGGATTCGGTTTGCCAGTATTTTATTGAGGATTTTTGCATCGATGTTAATCAGGGATATTGGTCTCAAATTCTCTTTTTTTGTTGTGTCTCTGCGAGGCTTTGGTGTCAGGATGATGCTGGCCTCATAAAATGAGTTAGGGAGGATTCCCTCTTTTTCTATTAAGTGGAATAGTTTCAGAAGGAATGGTACCAGCTCCTCCTTGTACCTCTGATAGAATTCGACTGTGAATCCATCTGGTCCTGGACTTTTTTTGGTTGGTAAGCTATTAATTATTTCCTCAATTTCAGAGCCTGTTATTGGTCTATTCAGAGATTCACCTTCTTCCTGGCTTATTCTGGGGAGGGTGTATGTGTTGAGGAATTTATCCATTTCTTCTAGATTTTCTAGTTTATTTGCATAGAGGTGTTTATAGTATTCTCTGATGGTAGTTTGTCTTTCTGTGGGATCCGTGGTGATATGCCCTTTATCATTTTTTATTGCATCTATTTGATTCTTCTATCTTTTCTTTATTAGTCTTGCTAGCAGTCTATCTATTTTGTTGATCTTTTCAAAAAACCAGCTACCGGATTCATTGATTTTTTGAAGGGGTTTTTGTGTCTCTATTTCCTTCGGGTCTGCTCTGATCTTAGCTATTTCTTGCTTTCTGCTGGCTTTTGAATATGTTTGCTCTTGCTTCTCTAGTTCTTTTAATTGTGATGTTCGGTTGTCAATTTTAGATCTTTCCTGCTTTCTCTTGTGGGCATTTAGTGCTATAAATTTCCCTCTACACACTGCTTTGAATGTGTCCCAGAGATTCTGGTATGTTGTGTCTTTTTTCTCATTGGTTTCAAAGAATGTCTTTATTTCTGTCTTCATTTCGTTATGTACCCAGTAGTCATTCAGGAGCAGGTTGTTCAATTTCCATGTAGTTGAGCGGTTTTGAGTGAGTTTCTTTTATTATTATTATTATGCTTTAAGTTTTAGGGTACATGTGAACAACGTGCAGGTTTGTTACATATGTATACGTGTGCCATGTTGGTGTGCCGCACACATTAACTCGTCATTTAGCCTTAGGTATACCTCCTAATGCTATCCTATGCAGCCATAAAAAATGATGAGTTCATGTCCTTTGTAGGGACATGGATGAAGCTGGAAACCATCATTCTCAGCAAACTATCACAAGCACAAAAAACCAAACACTGCATGTTCTCGCTCATAGGTGGGAATTGAACAATGAGAACACATGGACACAGGAAAGGGAACATCACACACTGAGTGAGTTTCTTAATCCTGAGTTCTAGTTTGATTGCACTGTGGCCTGAGAGACAGTTTGTTATAATTTCTGTTCTCTTACATTTGCTGAGGTGTGCTTTACTTCCAACTATGTGGTCAATTTTTGGAATAAGTGCAGTGTGGTGCTGAGAAGAATGTATATTCTGTTGATTTTGGATGGTGAGTTCTGTAGATGTCTATTAGGTCCGCTTGGCGCAGAGCTGAGTTCAATTCCTGTATATCCTTGTTAACTTTCTGTCTCATTGATGTGTCTAATGTTGACAGTGGGGTGTTGAAGTCTCCCATTATTATTGTGTGGGAGTCTAAGTCTCTTTGTAGGTCTCTAAGGACTTGCTTTATGAATCTGGGTGCTCCTGTATTGGGTGCATCTATATTTAGGATAGTTAGCTCTTCTTGTTGAATGGATCCCTTTACCATGATGTAATGGCCTTCTTTGTCTCTTTTGATCTTTGTTGGTTTAAAGTCTGTTTTATCCGAGACTAGGATGGCAACTCCTGCCTTTTTGTGTTTTCCATTTGCTTGGAAGATCTTCCTCCATCCCTTTATTTTGAGCCTATGTGTGTCTCTGCATGTGAGATGGGTTTCCTGAATACAGCACACTGATGGGTCTTGACTCTTTATGAAATTTGCCAGTCTGTGTTTTTTAATTGGAGCATTTAGCCCATTTACATTTAAGGTTAATATTGTTATGTGTGAATTTGATCCTGTCATTATGATGTTAGCTGGTTATTTTGCTCTTTAGTTGATGCAGTTTCTTCCTAGTATCGATGGTCCTTCCAATTTGGCATGTTTTTGAAGTGGCTGGTACCAGTTGTTCCTTTCCATGTTTAGTGCTTCCTTCAGGAGCTCTTTTAGGGCAGGCCTGGTGGTGACAAAATCTCTCAGCATTTGCTTGTCTGTAAAGGAATTTATTTCTCCTTCACTTATGAAGCTTAGTTTGGTTGCATATGAAATTCTGGGTCGAAAATTCTTTTCTTAAGAATGTTGAATATAGGCCCCCACTCTCTTCTAGCTTGTAGAGTTTCTGCCGAGAGCTCCGCTGTCAGTCTGATGGGCTTCCCTTTGTGGGTAACCCGACCTTTCTCTCTGGTTGCCCTTAACATTTTTTCCTTCATTTCAACTTTGGCGAATCTGACAATTATGTGTCTTGGAGTCGCTCTTCTCAAGGAGTATCTTTGTGGCATTCTGTGTATTTCCTGAATTTGAATGTTTGCCTGCCTTGCTAGATTGGGGAAGTTCTGCTGGATAATATCCTGAAGAGTGTTTTCCAGCTTGGTTCCATTCTCCCCATCACTTTCAGGTACACCTGTCAGACATAGACTTGGTCTTTTCACATAGTCCCATATTTCTTGGAGGCTTTGTTCATTTCCTCTTATTCTTTTATCTCTGAACTTCTCTTCTCGCTTCATTTCATTCGTTTGATCTTCCCTCACTGATACCCTTTCTTCCAGTTGATGGAATCAGCTACTGAGGCTTGTACATTTGTCACGTGGTTCTCGTGCCATGGTTTTCAGCTCCATCAGGTCCTTCAAGGACTTCTCTGCATTGGTTATTTTAGTTAGCCATTCATCTAATTTTTTTTCAATGTTTTTGACTTCTTTGCCATGGGTTCGAACTTCCTCTTTTAGCTCAGAGTAGTTTGATCATCTGAAGCCTTCATCTCTCAACTCATCAAAGTCCTTCTCCCTCTAGCTTTGTTCCATTGCTGGTGAGGAGCTGCGTTCCTTTGGAGGAGGAGAGGAACTCTGATTTTTAGAGTTTCCCATTTTTCTGCTCTGTTTTTTCCCCATCTTTGTGGTTTTATCTACCTTTGGTCTTTGATGATGCTGATGTACAGACTGGGTTTTGGTGTGGATGTCCTTTCTGTTTGTTAGTTTTCCTTCTAACAGTCAGGACCCTCAGCTGCAGGTCTGTTGGAGTTTGCTGGAGGTCCACTCCAGAAGCTGTTTGCCTGGGTATCAGCAGCAGAGGCTGCAGAACAGTGGATACTGGTGAACAACAAATGTTGCTGCCCGATCATTCCTGTGGAAGTTTTGTCTCAGAGGAGTACCTGGCCATGTGAGGTGCCAGTCTGCCCCTGCTGGTGGGTGCCTCCCAGTTAGGCTACTTAGGGGTCACAGACCCACTTGAGGAGTCAGTCTGTCCATTCTCAGATCTCCAGCTGCGTGCTGGGAGAACCACTACTCTCTTCAAAGCTGTCAGACAGGGACATTTAAGTCTACAGAGGATTCTGCTGCCTTTTGTTTGGCAATGCCCTGCCCCCAGAAATGGAGTCTGTGGAGGCAGGCAGGCCTCCTTGAGCTGCAGTGGGCTCCACCCAGTTCCAGCTTCCTGGCTGCTTTGTTTACCTACTCAAGCCTCAACAATGGCAGGCGCCCCTCCCCCAGCCTTGCTGCCGCCTTGCAGTTTGATCTCAGACTGCTGTGCTAGCAATGAGTGAGGCTCCGTGGGCATAGGACCTTTTGAGCCAGACACGGGATATAATCTCCTGGTGTGCCATTTGCTAAGACTGTTGGAAAAGCGCAGTATTAGGGTGGGAGTGACCGGATTTTACAGGTGCCATCTGTCACCCCTTTCTTTGACTAGGAAAGGGAATTCCCTGACTCCTTGCACTTCCCAGGAGAGGCAATGCCTCATGCTGCTTTGGCTCATGCTCGGTGCACTGCACCCACTGTCCTACACCCACTTTCTGACACTCCCCAGTGAGAAGAACCTGGTACCTCAGTTGGAAGTGCAGAAATCACCCGTCTTCTGCACCGCTCAGGCTGGGAGCTGTAGACTGGAGCTGTTCCTATTCGGCCATCTTGGCTCAACCCCCTAGTTAATTTTTGTGTCTTTAATAGAGACAGGGTTTCATCATATTGGCCAGAGTCGTCTTGAACTCCTGACTGAAGTGATCCACCCACCTCAGTCTCTGCAAGTGCTGGGATTACAGATGTGAGCCACTGTGCCTGGTCAATTGCTGGACGTTCATGATACACCTGGAGTATCCACAGTATCACAAGGGCCATTTTTTTCCATAATCCAATTTATTTATATTATTGGTAGTGAGCTAATGTTGATGTCCCCAAGGTAGCAATTTAGTGACTATATCCATGATAAACGTTTCCATGCATCACGTGGTCAACAGCATTTGCTACCAAGTGCCACGTTCCATGCTCAGCAGTGGGAACACAGGATGATGGAGACAAAGTTCCTGACCTTTAGCAGCAATATCGAACAAGTGAGATTGTCAAGAAAGAAGAAATAATTGTAAAACATACCATACCCCTACAATTCCATAATCATGCTCCTGGATATTTAATGAAGTGAGTAAACCCACACCTGGATGTTTACAGCAACTTACTCATAATCGCCAAAACTTGGAAGCTAGCAAGTTGCCCTTCGGTCAGTGACTGGATAAGCAAACTGATCTATCCAGTCAGTGAACTATTATAAAGCTGTAAAAAGACATGAAAAATTCCTAAATGCACGTTATTGTACAAGTGAAAGAAGGCAATCTGAAAAGACTCATCCTGTTAGACATTCCAGAAAAAGCTTTTGCATTTTTCTAAGGAGACAGTAGAAAGCCCAGTGGATGCAAGGGGTTGGGAGCACAATGGGATGAATGGGAAGAGGACAGAGGAATTTTAGGGAAAGAAAACTACTCTCCATGATGCTCTAATGGTGGATACATGTCATTATCCCTTTGTTAAAATCCATAGAATGTACAAAACCAGCAATGATCCCTCATGTGAACTATGGACATTGGGTGATAATGATGTGTCCCTGTGGCTCATTGGTTGTGATGAATGCTCTGTGCTGGTGTGGGTGCTGATCCTGTGGGGGTGCTGTGTATTGAAGGGGGAAGAAGGTAGATGAGAACTCTGCAGTTTCTGCTTAGTTTTTCTGTGAATCTAAAACTGCTGTAAAGGAAAAAATAGGCTGGGTGTGGTGGCTCACGTCTATAGTCATAGCATTTTGGGAAGCCGAGGCAGGTGGATCACCTGAGGTCAGGGGTTCCAGACCAGCCTAGCTAAAATGACAAAACCCTGTCTCTACTAAAAAAAATAATAATAATAATAATACAAAAATTAATCAGGTGTGGTGTTGCATGCCTGTAATCCCAGCTACTCTGGAGGCTGAGACAGGAGCATTGCTGGGACCCTGGAGGCAGAAGTTGCAGTGAACAGAGATCGTACCTCTGCACTCCAGCACGGATGACAGAAGGAGACTCCATCTCCAAAATAAATAAATAAATAAACTCAAGGCTGGGTGCGGTGGCTCATGCCTATAAGAGCTCACTCCCAGCAATTTAGGAGGCCGAGGCAGGTGGATCGCTTGAGCCCAGAATTTCAAGACCAGTCTGGGCAACATGGTGAAGCCTGGTCTTCACTAAGAATACAAAAATAAGTCAGGCATGATGGTGCATGCCTGTTGTTCCAGCTACTAGGGGGACTGAGGCAGGGAGATCACCTGAGCCTAGGAGGTCAAGGCTGCAGTAAGCCGTGATCATGCCACTGCACTCCAATCTGGACAACAGAGTGAGACTTTGTCTCCAAATAAAATAAAATAAAATAAAATAAAATAAACTCAATATTTTTTAAAACTGTAATGTTTCCTTTCAAAGCTAAAATTGTATTATTCTAAATATATTTTAAAGAAGAAATGATTATTGTTCAGTGTCTTTAAAATTAGTTTTTAAAATCTCATTTGTTTTGACATTTCAAACCAAGTTAAGTATTCTTTTTCTCACCCTCCTTGAGACGGAGTCTTCCTCTTTCACCCAGGCTGGAGTGCAGTGGTGCATTCTTGGCTCACTGCAACCTTTGCCTCGCAGGTTCAAGCGATTCTCTTGCCTCAGCCTCCTGACTATCTGGGATTACAGGCACCTGTCACCACGCCAGGCTAATTTTTTGTATTTTTCGTAGAGACGGGGTTTCATCATGTTGGCCAGGCTGGTCTGGAACTCCTGACCTCGTGATCTGCCCACCTCGGCCTCCCAAAGTGCCAGGAATACAGGCATGAACCACCACACCTGGCCATTAACCATTCTTGAAATATCACGTTGCATTCTTTAAAAGTTCTAATCTTTCATATACATAAATTACAACACAAATATTTATACTCTAATAGTATTCACATTATAGTAAATTTTTTTTCATGCTCTGTCGCCCAGGCTGGAGTGAAGTGGTGCAATCTCGTCTCATTGCAACCCTCACCTCCCGGGTTCAAGTGATTGTCCTGCCTCAGCCTCCTGAATACCTGGGATTACAGGCGAATGCCACCACTCCCAGCAAATTTTGTGTATTTTTAGTAGAGATGGGGTTTCACCATGTTGGCAAGGCTGGTCTCAAAATCCTGAGGCTGCCTTGGCCTCCCAAAGTGCTGGGATTAGAAGTGTGAGACACCATGCCCGGCCATAATAATAAATCTTATTTTATCTTTTTTTTTTGAGATGGAGTTTTGCTAGGGTTGCCCAGGCTGGAGTGCAATGGCTCAGTCTGAGCTCACCGCAACCTCCACCTCCAGGTTCAAATGATTCTCCCGCCTCAGCCTATCGAGTAGCTGCAATTACAGACGTGCGCCACCACGCCTGGCTAATTTTTTGTATTTTAAGTAGAGAAGGGGTTTCTTCATGTTGCTCAGGCTGGTCTCAAACTCCCAACCTCAGGTGATCCACCTGCCTCAGCCTCCCAAAGTGCTGGAATTACAGGTATGACTCACTGCACCTGGCTCATAATAGTACATTTTTGAAAACACCATAAAATATAATCCTTGCAACACTCAATTATACCATCTGGTCGGATCTATCAGCAGATGGCACCCGAGACATACGGATTGGAAATTTTGATCTTATTATGAATGAATCCAGTCCAGAAATGCCCACCTTGCCCCCTGCTGGCTCCTGGGGCTCTGCTCTTTGGGGGAATCATGATGAAATTGTGGCAGAGAGTAGAAGTTGAGCCCCATTGCATGCCCTGAGTTCTTGTTGCCTCTCTATTATCAGGAAAAGGAGGTGAGATTGAAAGATGAAAAGTGCTGGGACTTCTGCTGAGAAGAGAAAAAAGAACAAGATGTATTGATCTTACTGTATGCCAGACCCCATGCCAAGCCCTAAACATGAACCATCTCATTGGATCCTACCAAGGTCCCATAAGCTGTTGGACATCATCATCCTCATTTTACAGGAAGCTGAGGCTCTAGGCTAACATCCCTGACAGCAACACCAGCCCCTGAGTACTCAGCAGGATCCTTCACTTGGGTGCCCATTATGCAGAATTCCTCAGCACAGGGAAGGTCACTCATCACCCACAGGCCCTTGATCGTTATCCACCCTTTGATGCTGTCAGATTCCAGAACACGCTGCACTAGTACTAGTCTCTTCCTTCATAGGGAGAGAGGGGAGGTGTTATGAGAAAATCTCTCATCAATCTGACCTAGCTCCCCAAAAAGATGTAACTTTTAAAATGTCAGATGGAAATATTTAAAAAGTGTTACATGCCTGTATAGTTTTAGTATTTTACTTAAAGGGAATGTGGCTGTCTTTACTGGCTACAACCAGTTTAATTCAAGAAGGGCTGCTGGTCATCAGGAGAACAAGCAAGGGTTGATGCTGCCCAGAGTCTCCAGCTAATACACAATATGGACATCCCCTTCCAGGGCAGTGGGAAGAGAGTGGCTCCTTGTGCAGTGAAGCTGACATCCACCAAATAAGGCTTCTGGAAGCATGTGGAGACTCACAGGGAGTGGGCAGGGTCTCAGCATCTGGCTAGCAGTGAAAGACCCTGAGAAGAAGGTGCTTTCCACGTGGATTGGCTCACTGTTCTTGCCCAGTAATGTTCCAGGCCTTTGGTGTCCACCTAGTGTGTATTAACCCACTGAACAGCCACAGAAACTAACAAGGAGTTAACAGACATCTAAAGAAGTGAAGAACTAGAGGAGGCCAACCCAAGCGTGGTGGTCCACGCCTATACTCCCTGCATTTTGGGAGGCCAAGACAGGAGAATCACAAGCTCAGGAGTTCCAGATCAGCCTGGGGAAGACAGCGAGGCCTTGTCTCTACTAAAAAGAAGTATCCAGGTGTGGTGGCTCACACAGCTGTAGTCCTAGCTACTCAGGAGGCTGAGGTGGGAGGATCACTTGAACCCAGGAAATTTAGGTTGCAGTGAGGTATGATTGTGCCACTGCACTGTAGCCTGAGTGACAGGAGACCTTTAAAAAACAAAAACCAAAAAAAAGCCTGACACAGTGGCTCACACCTGTAACCCCAGCACTTTGGTAGGCCTACTTGCTTGAATCACCCAAAGTCAGGAGTTTGAGACCAGCCTGACCAACATAGTGAGGAAACCCTGTCTCTACTAAACATACACAAATTAGCTGGGCATGGTGGTGCATGCTTGTAATCCCAGCTACTTGGGAGGCTGAGGCAGAAGAATCATTTAAACCCCAGGTGGAGGTTGCAGTCAGCTCAGATGGCACCATTGCACTCTAAACTCCAGCCTGGGCAACAAGAGTGAAACTCTGTCTCCAATAAAAGAATGGGAGGAAAGTGATTACAATAACCAAATTTCATTTAAATGCCTTGATTTTCTTGGGCTGCATCTTATTGATTGGACAACTCAGTCAGTGCCTTTTGTTTTTTCCATCAATAACTGAAGATTCCTGAGGCTTAAACTGGAAAACAGGTTACTTAATAATAGAGGGCACCAGACAGATTCTGCTCAGTTTTCCTTTATTTCTGATTGTTTCTTTACAACCATCCATGCAAGAGTAACTCCCTCATGTATTCTCAAGCCTGAATTCCACTCTAGACATTCAGATTCCCATTTTCGACTCTACAGGATACAGGTCCCCAAAGTCCCATCGAATCCATGGCAACATTTCCCCCAAGTCCTGCCCCTGCTTGATCAGCTTTCCTTTCCCACTTTCAGAGCCTATGTGTGAAATGATGGGTTCTGTGCTCCCTTTAGGATGTACCTAAGACCTAGGTTTTAGTTTCCAAGTGTCCAGAAGAAAGCGTTTGACATACCCATCCAAATAGGCAGGCATTCAACAGCAGTATTGATCTGCCTCCAGGTCATAAAATGACCTGTTGCCACAGTCAGGGCAGTTGTCAATACAGAAAAAGATCCTCTTGGGGTGCCTTAAGTCCCTCACTCTGTTCATCAGCTCAGCCCTAATTTGAGCAAATCTGCTCCAGCAGAGAGTACCATCAGCACCATAACTCTCCCGCGGGGCAGGATACACCTCCACGCATAAGTTTTTGAGTATGATTGTGTGGCTCAGCAGGTTCTCCAGGGTGGCCATGGAGATGGGATTTCCACAGAAGCTGAAGGCATTGAGCTCAAAGCAGCGGCTCAGGGCAGGCAGGATGGCGTTGACTTGGGAGTCTATGATGCCACAGTCATCTAAATCCAAGTACTCAAGGGTGGCTGCAACTTTTTCTAGGAGAATTTGGAGAGGCACAAGACTGTAATTGGTCAGTCTGATGCCACTCAGGTCCAGGGTCTTTAGTTGACTGATACTCGGGCACTGGGATAGATGCTTCAAGTCTGATTCCAAAAGCACACAGTTAGTTATTGTGAGGACCTTTAACGAGGTCTTCAGACAGCTGGGGAGAGAGAGCAAGAAGTTAATTCTGGGGAATCATAGGGGTGAGTGGAGGGTGGTGGGGAATGGCTTCATGGTAATGGATGGAGACCATTTTGCCCAAGTCCAGGGTCATTCTGATGGCCTGATGGTCAACACTTAGGATGATGTGTGATGAAGAGCTTTGCCACCGAGGTCAATTCCACCTTAGAGCCGGCCCAGTAACTCACACCTGTAATCCCAGAACTTTGGGAGGCTGAGACTGGTGGATTCCTTGAGATCAGGAGTTTGAGACCAGCCTGCTGAACATGGCAAAACCTCGTCTCTACTAAAAATCCAAAAATTAGCCAGGTGTGGTGGGGGGAGCCTGCAATTCCAGCTACTTGGGAAGCTGAGGCAGAAGAATCGTTTGAACCCAGGAGGTGTAGGTTGCAGTGAGCAGAGATCATGCCACTACACTCCAGCCTGGGTGACAGAGAGAGACTCTGTATTAAAAAAAAAGAAGGAAAAAAAATAATTCCATTTGAGGCTGAGTCATTTCACCATCATTTATAGGAATGGATCAAGTTCACAGAATCCCTAAAGCTCCCTTTCCTCATCTGTCAGGCAGAAAACCACATCCCTGGGCCACAGAAGCCCAGTGGAGATTCAGGCATAAAGGACAAACCCAGACAGGATCCTGCAACATCAGCTGGGGTGGGCGGGCTGTAGGCGTCCCTGCCATGCCTGTATCATCAGCAAACCATCTATCACTTTCACCATTCTTTGTGCCTGCTCCCTGACCCTCTGTTTCAGAATCATGCATTGCTTAGGTAATTAATTTACCTGGAGCTCAAAACACTTTTACAACAGGGAATTAGAGATGGGATCATTCATGTTCACCAAACTATGGGGCACAAAGCTGATTTTCTGACATGTGCAGGTTTGCTGAGCATTCCCCTCTTCAGTGCCCACTTCACTTCCCTACTTTACATCATCTGCTTAAAAATTATCTTGTTGGCTGGGCGTGGTAGCTCTCGCCTATAATCCCAGCACTTTGGGAGTCCAAGGTGGGCGGATCACCTGAAGTCAGGAGTTGGAGAATATCCTGGCCAACATGGTGAAACCCTGTCTCTACTTAAAATATAAAAATTAGCCAGGTGTGCTGACTCATGCCTGTAATCCCAGGCACTCAAGAGGCTGAGGCAGGAGAATCGCTTGAACCTGGGAGGCAGAAGTTGCTGCGAGCTGAGATGTCACAAGTGCACTTTACCCTGGATGATCAAAGTGAAAATTCATCTCAGAAAAAAAAAAAGTTATCTTGTTTGTTTTTACTTTTATTTCTTCACTTCTGACAGGGGTCTTGGGATGTTACCCAGACTGGTCTTAAACTCCTAGGCTCAAGCTATCCTCTTGCCTCAGACTCCCAAAGTGATAGGATTACAGGCATGAGCCACCGTCCCTGGCCTATTTTTCATCATCTTAACTTAGACACACGTCCTCAGGAAGAATTCAGAAAGGCACCCTCACTAGATCTGAACCCCCCAGTAGCTAGCTTCCTAGTATGACAACCTCTCTATAGCATCTCCCCTAGCTGATCCCGCTGCCTCTATTGGGATGGTTGCATGATACCCATTTCAGGACAGGGCCGCCAACAGGACAATGTATGGACATTCTAGTGTCCCCTTCACTGTTTCATCCTCATAGGCTGGCTCACAGTAGATGCCCACTAGCGTTTAGTGAAACAGGCTCTGCTGTGGTCTGCAGAGAAAGCTCACCACCCTCCCTCACCTGAGCAGCTGGTCCAGGTGGCCTTCGAGGAAAGAAACAGAGTTCATATAAAGCTTTTGGAGGCAGTGCAGCTTGAGGAACTGAGTGGTGAACTGGGTAACAATCTCCTTCTTCTGCTCTGGGGAAACGTAGCGAGAGACATCCATGTGGGAGAGAACGAGCTTCTGAAGATTCCTCATGTGGCCCAGGTATGGGGTAAACTGTGTCAGGATGGGCAGTACCCACTTGCAATTCACTTCCACCTCCTGGATACAGTCTAGGTTCACCATTTTCAGGATGCTTCTGATATTGCGGAAGGGCATTCCCAAAATTTTCAGCTTCTTACAGCACAGGTGTAGTAAATCTTTCCTCTGCTTGACCCATAGAAGGAGGTAGGTGAGGTATTCATCCAGAGTCCTGTTCTTGAGCCAAAGTTCTACGAACACAGTCAAGGGCTGCTGTCCTCTCATCCTTGGACAGTCCTGCACTGGTGTTTTGTTCCTCTTGGCATTGAGGAAGGACCCACGGGCCATAGCTTCAGACCAAACCATCCAGAAGTTCTCACAGACATCCTGTAAATCCAGCACTTGAAGTTTCCACCTCCTGTGGGAAAATAGAGGTGAGACTGAGAATTTAAGAACTCATTTCTGAATTTAAACTCCACATCCTGGATAGCAGCTCCTCCCCTCCCTGCTTCTTGTCCCTCTCTCTGACTTTTCTTCACTCTGTTTTCCCCTTGGATCCTACCCACTTCCACATTTTTTTGTTTTTTTTTTTGAGACCAAGTCTCCCTCTGTCGCCCAGGCTAGAGTGCAGTGGTGTGATGTCACCTCACTGCAACCTCTGCTTCCTGGGTTCAAATGATTCTCCTGCCTCAACCTCACAAGTAGCTGGGATTACAGGAGCCCACCACCATGCCCAGCTAATTTTAGTATTTTTAGTAGAGTTGGGGTTTACCATGTTGGACAGGCTGGCCTCCAACTCTTGACCTCAGCCTCCCAATGTGCTGGGATTACATTGTGAGCCACCGTGCCCGGCCCAGTTCTCACTTTTCATGGTGCCTTTCAGTGCCATTAGAGGAGAGGTTCCTGTTACCTCCATGGACCTTGCGTGGTGAGCAGTGCTTTCCCTGAGGAGCTGGTGAATGGCCAAGTCCTCTCGGCTTCCTCACCACCACCATCCCCCTTGGGCCTCCTCACTTCACATGACCCAGCTGTTCCTTCAGTTGGACACCTGGGCCCTCCCCACCAGCCCACCTGGGCCACCTCACCTGGGACAAACCCCTTGGGTAAGCAGTGCATCCAGCCCATCGAGCACAGCTTGGAAGGCCTCCAGACAAGGCATCTTTATCAGAGGCCTCAGAGGGAGGCGGCGGAAGGGCCAGGCCTGCACCATCAGCTTCAGGGCCTCACAGCGTCTCCTGCTGAAGGCCTCCATGAACAGTGGGGGGAAAAGTTCTGTGGGCAGCTCCTCCAGGGTGGACATGGCCAAGGCTTGGTCCCTCAGCAGGCTCCGCCCCGCCAGCTCCAGGAGTCTGGGTGGAGTCCGGATGCTCATCTTCATGAATCTGCAGGGAAAACTTCCAGAGGACAAACCCAGAGAAAAGGCATCACTCTCAGGCCAAGCCCATGCAATCTCATCTTCTCCTATGGCCAAACTCACTGCTCTGGCAATGGTGAAACAGCCCTCAGTTTACTCCAATTCTACTCTGTACTCAGTGGCCATTAAGCCAGCATTCTGCCTCTGCTGCATCAGCATGAGCGTCTCCGAAGCAGTGAGGAAGCAGGGTCACCACGAGCCCTTCCTTTCTATCCAGTGCTCCATCCAGTGACTAGTGAGTGTGGAGGAACCTGAAAGTGAACCCCTCCTACCATTGGGGGAAATTACTGATTACTCAAGGTTCTAAAACAATGGGAATGGGAGTGTCACAAGCCTACATGCCCACATTTTCAGTTCCTACAAATAAGTTTGTTGGGAACATTCATGGGACATCCCTAGAACAGGTTCTATTTGTTTTCTTTTCATTATTTAAGCTTGCTTTCTCTTTCTCTCTCTTTCTTCTTTCCTTCTTTCCCTCTCTCCCTCCCTTCTTTCTTTCTTTCCCCCTCTCTCTCCCTTCTTTCTTTCTTGTCTTCTTTCCCTGCATCCCTTCTCTCATTCTCTCTCTCTTTCTCTCTCTCCCTCTCTCACTCTTTCTGACAGGGTCTTGCTCTGTCACCCAGCCTGGAGTGTAGTGGTGGGATCTCAGCTCAGTGCAGCCTTGACCTCCCAGCTCAAAGGATTCTTCCCCCTCAGCCTCCCAAGTAGCTGGGACCACAGTTATGCATCACCACACCCAGCTCATCTTTTATGTTTTGACTTTTTGTAAAGACAGTGGATTTCGCTATGTTGTCCAAGCTGGTCTTGAACTCCTAGTCTCAAGCAATCTACCCCTCTTGGCCTCCCAACATACTGGGATTATAGGTGTGAGCCTCTGCCCCAGCCTCGTTATTGAAAATTTCAGTGAGAAGCTTTGAAAGCTATGTGACACTGTTATGCATCATTCTCAAGATAGATGTTTCCAATGCACACCTCTTACACATATTCAAACTGAACCACTTTGGCTGGGTGCAGTGACTCACACCTGTAATCTGAGCATTTTGTGAGGCCGAGGCAGGTGGATCATCTGAGATCAGGAGTTCAAGACGAGCCTGGCCAACATGGTAAAACCCTGCCTCTACTAAGACAGCAAAAATTAGCCAGGTGCAGTGGTCTGCGCCTGTAGTCCAAGCTACTAGGGAGGCTGAGGTAGGAGGATCACTTGAACCCAGGAGGCAGAAGTTGCAGTGAGCTGACATTATACTACTCCACTCCAGCCTGGGGAATAGGCTAGATTGAACTGAGAGACAGAGAGAGCTACATTTGACTAGACTTCTTAATCTCTACCCAGTTAATCCTTATTGGATTTTTGGCTTTCTTAAAGAATAACTGATCGAATTAGATATTAATCCATCAAAATGAAAGATTTAGGGATAGGGTGAAAGTCCAGGACTCATTCACCGATTCCCTTCACAAACATGGACTTCCACTAATATGTGTCCTTCAAAGTCCTGAGTGTGAGACAGGGAAGGGTTGAATCTCTTCCTGATATTAGACAGAAAGAAAGAAAACTTGAAAGTATCTTTGTTGAGGGATCCTTGGCCACATCAAATTTATCAAAATATTTCAGAGTTAAAACAGTTTTCAAAGACAGAGATGACAGTCCCTAAGAAAACACAATAGAAATCTTCATGTATCCGATGATCACCTGGGTCATATAATTTTTTTTGGTGCTGAGGGAGCTGAGTCTCACTTCGTCGCCCAGGCTGGAGTGCAGTGGCACCATCTTGGCTCACTGTTACCTCCAAGATTGCCTCCAAGATTCAAGCAATTCGCATGCTTCAGCCTTCCACGTAGCTGGGACTACAGGCAGGCACCCCCCACAGCCATGTCTCCATTTGGGTGGAAGAGGATGTGATTGGTTTAAAATTAAGGTCAAAGATCCTTTTTGATTGATTTTGTTTTTGGACAGAGTGTCTCTCTTTTGCCCAGGCTGGAGTACAGCAGTGGTGTGAGCATGGCTCACTGCAGCCTGAATCTTCTGGACTCAAGTGATTCTCCCACACCAGCCACCCAAATAGCTGGGACTACAGATGCATGGTGACTCACAGCTGTAATCCCAGCACTTTGGGAGGCCAAGGCAGGTGGATCACTTGAGGTCAGGTGTTCGAGACCAACCTGGCCAGCGTGGTGAAACCCCACCTCTACTAAAAATACAAAAATTAGCCAGGCATGGTTTCAGATGTCTGTGACACCAGCTTCTGAGGATGGAGACTGAGGCATGAGAATTGCTTGAACCCAGGAGTTAAAGGTTGCAGGGAGTTGAGATCGTGCCACTGCACTCCAGTCTGGGCAACACAGTGAGACTCCATCCCCACCCTCAAAAAAAACGTTGTGTAGAGGAGGGTTTTTGTCATGTTGCCCAGGTTGGTCTCAAACCCCTGGGCTGAAATGATCCTCCCACTTTGGCCTCCCAAAGTGTTGGGGTTAAAGGCATGAGTCACTGCTCCCTTCAAGAATTTTAAAATGGCATCAACCAAAGCACAATCAACTTTTTTGAAATAAAGACAGAACTGCATTTAGAGGAAAACATTCAAAGCTTCAAATTGTTCATATATATATATAAAAAAGGACAGGATATAGCTCTCTGCCATCTTAGGCTGCACTGTCACCATCCCAGACTGACTGACTGTAGGTCAGATGGGAGTGTCCTTACAGAAATTAGTGACTTACCAGATCTGGATGTAGTTTAGAAGGTGCTCAGACCTCAGGAAGAACCAAGCAGGAACTCCAGGCTTGAAGACTTTGGGTCTCTCCTGTGGGTCTTTAGAAGCTTTTATTGACCTTTCTAATCATAACTCCCACCCACGCCCCTCCACGTATCCGCTGCTAGCTTCCAATCAAAAAATGATATCTGATTGCATTTGTGAAGCTCCACTCCACCCAGGTAATCCTGATTGGGTTTTTGGCTCTCCCCAGATTAATGGATTGAATCAGATGTCCATTCATATCACATATCTATATTCACTTCACGAAGCAAGAAATTGACAGTGTTAGGGATAGGGTAGAAGTCAAGAATACATTCATTCAAGGCCAGACGAAGTGGCTCACACCTGTAATCCCAGCACTGTGGGAGGCAGAGGCAGGTGGATTATCTGAGGTCAGGAGTTTGAGACAAGCCTGGCCAACATGGTAAAACCCTACCTCTACTAAAATTACAAAAATTAGCCAGTTGCGGTGGTCTGCGCCTATAGTCCAGGCTACTAGGGAGGCTGAGACAGGAGGATCCCTTGAACCCAGGAGGCAGAGGTTGCAGTGAGCTGACAATACACCACTGAACTCCAGCCTGGGAAATAGGCTAGATTTAAAAAAAAAAAAAAAAAAAAAGAAAAAGAAAAAAGAGAGAGAGAGAACTACATTTGATTCCACTTCTACCGAGTTAATCCTGATTGGATTTTTGGCTTTCTTCCAGATTTACTGATGCAATTAGATATTCATCCATCAAAGTGAAAGATTTAGGGATAGGGTGTAAGTCCAGGACTCATTCACTGATTCCCTTCACAAACATGGGGTTTTACTAATATGTGTCCTTCACAGTCCTGAGTGTGAGATAGGGAAGGGTTGAATCTCTTCCTGATATTAGACAGAAAGAAAAAACTTGAAAGTATCTTTGTTGAGGGATCCTCGGCCACATCAAATTTATCAAAATATTTCAGAGTTAAAACAGTTTTCAAAGACAGAGTTGACAGTCCCCAAGAACACACAATAGAAATCCTCATGTATCCAATGATCACCTGGGTGGTATAATCTAATTGTTTTTGGTGTGGGGGAAGCTGAGTCTCACTTTGTCGCCCAGGCTGGAGTGCAGCGGCGCCATCTCAGCTCACTGTAACCTCCACCTCTGAGATTCAAGCAATTCTCATGCTTCAGCCTTCCACGTAGCTGGGATTACAGGCATGCACCCCCACACCCATGTCTCCATTCGGGTGGAAGAATTACAGTGAGGACGTGATTGGTTTAAAATTAAGGTCATAGATTCTTTTTGGTTAAGATATTGTTTTTGTTTTTTGGACAGGGTCTCTCTCTTTTGCCCAGGCTGGAGTACAGCAGTGGTGTGAGCATGGCTCACTGCAGCCTCAATCTTCTGGGCTCAAGTGATTCTCCCACACCAGCCACCCAAATAGCTGGGACTACAGATGCATGTCACCATGCTCGGCTAATTAAAATAAAAAAAAGTAGAGGCCAAGCACCAGTGACTCACAGCTGTAATCCCAGCACTTTGGGAGGCCAAGGCAGGTGGATCACTTGAGGTCAGGTGTTCGAGACAAACCTGGCCAGCGTGGTGAAACCCCACCTCTACTAAAAATACAAAAATTAGCCAGGCATGGTTTCAGATGTCTGTGACACCAGCTTCTGAGGATGGAGACTGAGGCATGAGAATTGCTTGAACCCGGGAGGTAAAGGTTGCAGTGAGTTGAGATCGTGCCACTGCACTCCAGTCTGGGCAACACAGTGAGACTCCATCCCCACCCTCAAAAAAAAAACGTTGTGTAGAGGAGGGTTTTTGTCATGTTGCCCAGGTTGGTCTCAAACCCCTGGGCTGAAATGATCCTCCCACTTTGGCCTCCCAAAGTGTTGGGGTTAAAGGCATAAGTCACGGCTCCCTTCAAGAATTTTGAAATGACCTAAACCAAAGCACAATCAACTTTTTTGAAATAAAGACAGAACTGCATTTAGAGGAAAAAATTCAAAGCCTCCAATTGTTCATATGAAAAAAAAAAAGGACAGGATATAGCTCTGTGCCATCGTAGGCTGCACTGTCACCATCCCAGACTGACTGACTCTAGGTCAGATGGGAGTGTCCTTAGAGAAATTAGTGACTTACCAGATCTGGATGTAGTTTAGAAGGTGCTCAGACCTCAGGAAGAACCAGGCAGGAACTCCAGGCTTGAAGACTTTGGGTCTCTCCTGTGGGTCTTTAGAAGCTTTTATTGACCTTTCTAATCACAACTCCCACCCACGCCCTTCCACGGGTGCACTGCTAGCTTCCAATCAAAAAGCCATATCTGATTGCATTTCTGAAGCTCCACCCAGTTAATCCTGATTGGGTTTTTGGCTCTCCCCAGATTAATGGATTGAGTCAGATATCCATTCATATCACATATCTATATTCAGTTCGTGAAGCAAGAAATTGACAGTGTTAGGGATAGGGTAGAAGTCAAGAATACATTCATTCACTGGTGGGCAAGGTGGCTCATACCTGTAATTCCAGCACTTTGGAAGGACAAGGTGAGTAGATCACCTGATGTCAGGGGTTCAAGACCAGTCAGGTCAAAAAGGTGAAACCCCGTCTCCACAAAAATACAAAAATACAAAAATTAGCCCGGCATGATGGCAGGTGCCTGAAACACAGCGACTCAGGAGGCTGAGGCAGGAGAATTGCTTGAACCCAGGAGGCAATGGTTGCAGTGAGCCAGAATTGTGCCACTGCACTCCAGTCTGGGTGACGGAGGGAGATTCTGTCAAAAAATAAAAAAATCATTCATTCATGAACTCCACAAACACTGATTTTTTTTTTATTAATATGTGAACTTCATAGTCTTGAGTGTGAGACAGGGACGGATTTGATCTGTTTACGACATTAGACAGAAAAATAAAATCTGAAAGTAGTGTTGTTAGGAGATCTTTGGCCACATCAAAATATAAAAATGCTTTCTACTTTAAAAAGCTTTATAAAAACAGAGGAGTCGTCCCTACGAAATCAGAATAAAAATCTCAATATACTGAATGGTCTTTGGGATTTTGTATAACCTAAGGTAGCAGATTACATGCTCGTTCTGGTGGAGGAGAGGTGCCACTGAGGGCGTGAGTGGTCTCAGGGCTTAGGTTAAGGCTTCTTTGGAAGAAATTGAAACCACATCTCTAAAATTTATAAATTTAATCAGTGAAGAAGGGAGGGAGAGAAACAAAAATAAACCAAGCTTGGAACACATTCAGCATTCATCAGGAGGTCTTCTTGCTCTCTGACCTGGTTCCTCATGGTTGCCGCAACCTACTGTTCCAAAATCATATAGACCTTAGATTACAGTTCCCCTTAACTTCCCTGCAGACAACCATTTAAGCATTGTAAAACATTAACTTTTTCATCTGAGATATTCTTTCAGGTTCTGCATGTCAGTGAAACTGCTGATGCCAGCTGATCTGAAGGGCCATGCAATGCACCAACTCACCAAATAATGCAGTTTCTACATCCTGTTGACTTCTTCCCTCTTACCGCTACCCCAACTTTCCGGCCCCTTGCTATCCAGGATCCACTGGAAACCTTCAGTACTCCTTGGGGAGATGAATTTGAGGATCTCCTCCTAGCTTCTCATTCAGCCACCTTGTGATCATTAAACTCTCTGCTGCAAACCCTGCTGTCTCAGAATATTGCTAAACTACTGTGCAGCAGGCATAGGAACCTGATGGTCCTTTAATAAAGTCATGTCAAAATTACAAATGGAAGTGAGGGTGGAGCTGGTCAGGGTTGAGCTGGGTTTTTAATGGGAACCTGGGAGTGAAGCAAGACTTGCAGGTCACATTGGGCAGGCTTCCAAATTCACCACCTATGGAAGGTCTTTCGCTTGGCTTACATCCTGTCTCTGAGTAAAGAGTCTGATCGTGAGTTCATGAGTGCTTCAAACTCTACAAGTATTGATGAAGGCTTCCACCCACTGACAGTGAGAAGGCACTGATTTGATGGTGATCATGAAGTTCTGCTGGTTGTCTTGCAAGGAATATGTTTTATTCTTTTATCTTGTCATCTAAAGCCAATGATTGTAACCTCTGTTTGTCCCTTCCAATGGAAAAAACAAAAACAAAAAGTCAACTCTATTTGAGCCTTGTCAGGTCTATAAAACAAAAGAAAATTTAAAAAAATAATTGATAGGAGGAGTCCCTTTCCCAGCCCGGGCAATAGAGTGAGACTCCATCTCAAAAGGAAAAAAAAAAAAAAGGCCGGGCACGGTGGTGGCTCACACCTCTAATCCCAGCACTTCAGGAGGCCAAGGCAGGTAGATCACGATGCCAAAAAATTGAGACCATCCTAGCCAACATGGTGAAACCCTGTCTCTGCTAAAAATACAAAAATTAGCTGAGCATGGTGGCGCCCACCCATAGTCCTAGCTACTCGAGAGACTGAGGCATGAGAGTCGCTTGAACTCAGGAGGAGGAGGTTGCAGTCAGCCAAGATTTCACCACTGCACTCCAACTTGGTGACAGAGCGAGACTCCGTCTCAAAACAAACAAACACAAACGAACAAACAAACAAAGAAAAAAGCTGGAAAAATAAATTCTGAAAGAATTTCCATCTCTATGAATTCATCTTCAGAAGTGATAGCATTTCCTGCTTGGCATTTTTTGCCTACATTTTTGGCATAAGATCTATCAACAAAAAGTATGAACCCAGGTTTGTGTAATGGAATATCTTAAACGTCAATAGGAGGAGTCAATAGTTCTGATGCCACACACACACACGTATGGTCTTCTCCATCATCAGAAAATGGCAACAAAGTGGTAGAGTTATGCAGAGTGTAGCATTTGAAATGGAGATTTGAAGGTGACAAGGAAAGGATTTTGTAAGACATTAGTGTACAAGTTGAGCAATGTTGGTTCCTGTCACAATATTTTTATTGATTTATTTATTTTATTCATTTATTTTTTGAGATGGAGTCTCGCTCCGTCACCAGGCTGGAATGCAGTGGCACGATCTCAGCTCACTTCGACCTCTGCCTCCCCGGTTCAAGCAATTTTCCTGCCTTAGCCTCCTAAATAGCCGGGACTACAGGTGCATGCCACTACACCTGGCTAATTTTTTGTATTTTTAGTAAAGACGGGGTTTCACCATGTTAACTAGGATGGTCTCAATCTCCTGACTTCGTGGTCTGCCCGCCTCGGCCTCCCAAAGTGCTGGGATTACAGGCCTCAGCCACCATGCCTGGTCGGTTCACATCAAAATTTAAGAGGTATTCAATTGCATATGAAATTTGTAGGCAAAGTTTATTTCTTTTTTCTTTAAAGCATTAATTAATTTATTTATTTATAATGTATTTATTTATTAATTTTTTTTTGAGATGGAGTTTCACTCTTGCTTTCCAGGCTGGAGTGCAATGGTGCGATCTCGCCTCACTGCAACCTCTGCCTCCCGGTTCAAGTGATTCTCCTGCCTCAGTCTCCCAGTTAGCTGGAATTACAGGCACAGGCCACCACACACAACTAGTTTTTGTATTTTTAGTAGAGACAGAGTTTCACCATGTTGCCCAGGCTGGTCTGGAACTCCTGACCACAGGTGATGCACCCACCTCGGCCTCTGAAAGTGCTGAGATTACAGGCGTGAACCACCGTGCCCGGCCTAAACTCATCACTTTTAATACTTTCTACATCACATGAGGAAGAAGAGCAGAAACACTTGAGTACTTCATGAAGGTCAAGGTTGGTATGAGTTTGGGTTCTAATATGATCAATTTCTGCTTCTAGGGAACCAAGCAGTTCAGGTTAAGGAAGGTCAGGAAGCTATTTTAACTATAAAGCATTTTTAAAATATTGATGTGGCCAAAGATCTCCCAACAACACTATTCTCAGGTTTTATTTTTCTGTCTAATGTCCAGAACAGATCAACCCCTTCCCTGCCTCACACCCAGGGCTATGAAGGTGACATATCAGTAAAATTCCATCAGTGCTTGTGGAGTTCGTGAATGAAGGCATTCTGTTGTTGTTGTTGTTGTTGTTGTTGTTGTTGACAGAGTCTCCCTCTGTCACCCAGTCTGGAGGGCAGTGTGCAATCTCGGTTCACTGCAACCTCAGCCTCCTGGGTTCAAGCAATTCTCCCACCTCAGCCTCCCAAGTATCCGGATTACAGGCAGCCGCCATCATGCCCGGCTAATTTTGTATTTTTGTAGAGACAGGGTTTCACCATATTGGTCAAGCTTGTCTTGAACTCCTGACCTCAGGTGATCCGCCTGTCTTGGCCTCCCAAAGTGCTGGGATTACAGGCATGAGCCAACTCAGCTGGCCTTAAATGAATGAATTCTTGATTTCCACTCTATCCCTAATGCTGTCAATTTCTTGATTCATGAAATGAATATGGGTATGTGATATGAATGGATATTTGGTTCAATCCATTAATCTGGGGAAAGCCAAAAACCCAATCAGGATTAGCTGGGTGGAACTTCAGAAATGCAATGAGATATTGCTTTTTGATTGGAAGCTAGCAGTGCATACGTGGAAGGGCGTGGGTGGGAGTTGTGATTAGAAAGGTCAATAAAAGCTTCTAAAGACCCACAGGAGAGACCCAAAGTCTTCAAGCCTGGAGTTCCTGCTTGGTTCTTCCTGAGGTCTGAACACCCTGCAAACTGAGCCCAGATCTGGTAAGTCACTAATTTCTGTAAGGACACTCCCATGGGACCTACAGTCAGCCGATGTAGCATGGTGACAGTGCAGCCTACGACAGAGCAGAGCTATATCCTGTCTTTTTTTTCTTTTTTTCATATGAACACTTTGAAGCTTTGATTTTTTTTTCTAAATGCAGTTTTGTCTTTATTTCAAAAATGTTGATTGTGCTTTTCTTTACGTCATTTCAGAATTCTTGTTGGGAGCCATTTTGTGAAGAGACGAAGACTGAGCTGGTTTGGCTGCATTTCTGGCCTCGAGCCGCAGTCAGCTTCTCCACGTAGAACCCGGCAGTAGGAGACTTAGAATCGAATCTCTTCTCCCTCCCGCCTCCTGTTTTTGGCTTTTTGAGAAACCTTATCATCCAACACAATGGCCAGCAACGTTACCAACAAGATGGATCCTCACTCCATGAACTCCCGTGTGTTCATTGGGAATCTCAACACTCTTGTTGTCAAGAAATCGGATGTGGAGGCGATCTTTTCCAAGTATGGCAAAATTGCGGGCTGCTCTGTTCATAAGGGCTTTGCCTTCGTTCAATATGATAAGGAGAAAAATGCCCGGGCTGCTGTAGCAGGAGAGGATGGCAGAATGATTGCTAGCCAGGTTGTAGATATTAACCTGGCTGCAGAGCCAAAAGTGAACCGAGGAAACGCAGGTGTGAAACGATCAGCAGCAGAGATGTACGGCTCCTCTTTTGACTTGGACTATAACCTGCAACGGGATTATTATGGTGGGATGTACAGTTTCCCAGCACGTGTACCTCCTCCTCCTCCCATTGCTCTGGCTGTAGTGCCCTCGAAACGCCAGCGCATATCAGGAAACACCTCACGAAGGGGCAAAAGTGGCTTCAATTCTAAGAGTGGAAAGCGGGGATCTTCCAAGTCTGGAAAGCTGAAAGGAGATGACCTTCAGGCCATTAAGCAGGAGTTGACCCAGATAAAACAGAAAGTGGATTCTCTCCTGGAAAACCTGGAAAAAATTGAAAAGGAACATTGCAAGCAAGGAGTAGAGGTAAAGAATGCTAAGTCTGAAGAGGAGCAGACCAGCAGCTCCTCGAAGAAGGATAAGACTCACGTGAAGATGGAGTCTGAGGGGGGTGCAGATGACTCTGTTGAGGAGGGGGACCTACTGTGTGATGATGATAATGAAGATCAGGGGGACAACCAGCTGGAGTTGATCAAGGATGATGAAAAAGGGGCTGAGGAAGGAGAGGATGACAGAGACAGGGCGAATGGCCAGGATGACTCTTAAGCACATAGTGGGGTTGAGAAATCTTATCCCATTGTTTCTTTACCTAGGTGCTTGTCTAACATCAAATTTTTCACCAGATCCTCTCCCTTAGCATCTTCAGCACATGCTTACTGTTCTCCCCATCCTTGTCCTTCCCACATTCATTAATTCATATTGCCCTGCACCTAGTTCCATTTTCACTTCCCTTGATGCTCCTAGAAGTTTTCTTAAGTCTTACCCTGCAATTTTTGCTTTTAATTTAGATACCTCCTTATGACTTAACAGTAAAAAGGATGTATGGTTTTTATCAACTGTCTCCAAAATAATCTCTTGTTATGCAGGGAATACAGTTCTTTTCATTTATACATAAGTTCAATAGTTGCTTCCCTAACTGCAAAGGCAATCTCATTGAGTTGAGTAGCTCCTGAAAGCAGCTTGGAGTTAGAAGTATGTGTGTTACACCCCATGTCAGTGTGCTGTGTGGGGCAGTTCAACAAAAATCTAACAATGTATTTTTGTGAATGAGAGTTGGCATGTCAAATGCATCCTCAGAAAAATAATTAGTGTTATACTCTTAAAATGTGTTTTCTAAAGTTGATACTGTGGGTTATTTTTGTGAACAGCTCCATGTTTGGGACCTTTTTTCCTCAAAATAAACAAGTCCTTATTAAACCAGGAATTTAAAGAAAAAAATTCTTGGTGGGAGCAGTGACTCATGCCTACAATTCCAACACTTTGGGAGGCCAAGGCAGGAGGATCATTTGAGCCCAGGGGCTCGAGACCAACCTGGGCAACATGGCAAAACCCTATCTCTACAAAACATTTGTTTTGAGGGGTGGGGATGGTATCTGGCTCTGTTACCCAGGCTGGAGTGCAGTGGCATGATCTCAACTCACTCCAACCTCTGCCTCCCAGGCTCAAGCGATTCTCATGCCTCAGCCTCCTGAGTAGCTGCGATTATAGCCACCCGCCACCATGCCTGGCTAATTTTTATATTTTTGGTAGAAACAGGGTTTCACCATGTTGGCCAGGCTGGTCTTGAACTCCTAACCTCAAGTGATCCACCTGCCTTGGCCTCCCAATGTGCTGGGATTACACCAGTGAGCCACCAACGCCCTGCTTCTTTTTTAAAAAATTAGCCGGGCATGGTGGCATGGATCTGTAGTCCCAGCTACTTGGGTGGCTGAGGTGGGAGAATCCCTTGAGCTCAGAAGATTGAGGCTGCAGTGAGCCATGTTCACACCACTGCTGTACTCCAGCCTGGGCAACAGAGTGAGACCTTGTCAAAAAAAAAAATCTTAACCAAACAGTTTTTTAAGAAAACCAATTAATTGTAATCAGTAGGCAGATCCCAAATTCCCCAAAAAAAGAAGAGAAAGAGAGTTTAGAAGGCTCTACGTGCTAGCATCCCATTCAGACTGTTTAATCCTACAATTGTGGTTTTGTAAGAAAAACAGTCTTAAAGATTTCCAATAATTCCCACAATGGCCATAAATTATCCTGGGTGTCATTTTCCCATCAATTTAAAAAGGCACATGAGAGGCCGAGTGCAGTGGCTCAGGCCTGTATTCCCAGCACTTTGGGAGGCTGAGGCGGGTGGATCAGCTGAGGTCAGGAGTTCAAGACAAGCCTGGCCAACATGGAGAAACTCCATTCCTACTAAAAATACAAAAAAGAGCCAGGCGTGGTGGCGGGCACCTGTAATCCCAGGTACTCAGGAGGCCGAGGCAGGAGAGGCACTTGAACCCAAGAGGTAGAGGTTGCAGTGAGCCGAGATCATGCCATTGCACTCCAGCCTGGCCACAGAGCCAGACACTATCTCCAAAAATAATAATAATTATTATAACAGCATGTCTATTCTCTCCAAAGTGTCTGGGACTGGACAATTAATTGTGAGGTCCTCTTCTGTAGCACCATACGCTATAACATATATGTGGATTTAAATAAATACACATACAAAATGCAAGTATATAGTCTATATGCTTTCCATATACTTATGTTCCATGAGGTCACAAGCAAATTCAAGGCTAGGTCAAAGAGTAGAGTGGCTGTCTATGGAAAGGAGAGTGGAAGTGAATCATGGTAATAAATGGAAATAGATACAGATATGAATAGGTAGACATACACACATATAGCTGCAAGAAACGGGGTTGTCGTGGACCAATGATGTCAGTGAGCCATGTAAAAAGGCTACAATTCTTGTGATTGTGTGTCCGTTTTCAGGATGGGTTGTAGATTACCTTTTTAGAAAGGCTGATGCCACAGTCATAGTCAAAAAAAATGATTATAAAATTTGCTTCCTTTCTGGAGCATCTCTGGAGAAATCTCCAATGGGAGGAGAACTCAGTTACTGGGCAGGTTATCACACAGGTAAGATTTTACTGATCCAATGGCACTAATATTAACTTCATTATCCTTCGTATTCTACAAAGGTTGAGTGAACAAACTGTATCTTGAAACTAAAATTAGCTGAACCAATAAAGGAGACTGCATTCTTTTTATTTTTTGTTTAGAGACAGAGTCTCTGTTGCCCAGGCTGGAGTACAATGGTGCTACCTTGGCTCACTGCAACTTCTGCATCCTGGGTTCAAGTGGTTCTCCTGCCTCAGCCTCCTGAGTAGCTGGGATTACAGGCACATGTCACCACACTGAGCTAACTTTTGTATTTTTAGCAGAAAGGGGGTTTCTCCATGTTGGCCAGGTTGGTCTCAAACCTCTGACCTTGGGATCTGCCTGCCTCAGCCTCCTAAAGTGCTGGGATTATAGGCGTGAGCCACCATGCCTGGTTGAATCTTTTTTACTTTTCTCAAGCATGGTGTCATAGTATTGGGTTCTATGCACTTAGAAGAGTGAGCCCATCGTTCAGTAACAATATGAATCAATACTGCAAGACCTTGATGCAGTATTTGAAAGACTATTTCCACTAGGTGAAGGAGGCTTTCAGTGATGCTTAGACCTTCATGCCCTAGCATTTGGAGATTGCATCCTTTAGAAATGACACCAAGGGAAATCTGCCCATGAACAGCATTGGATGGGACTGTACCAGATGACTTAAACTTAAGGATATCTGAGGAAAAGCCTTCCCTAGAAGCACACATCATCACCTGGTAGACAGCTTTTCCAAGACAATGGAACAAGACTCCATTTGATCTTCTTCCATTGACTGAGACTTGGTTTTGTTTTGTATTAACACAAAATTATCAAACCTATATTTTATGTTGTTAGGTACTTTCACCACTCAAACCAAACACTTTCTAAGATCTTCTGTTCAAAATGTAGCCACTCTCACTAACCAAAGCAATTGCTGGCTATGGAGTCATTTAGATGAAAGGGAAGGATCACACTTAATACTACAACCTGCTTTCGTACACAGTTGGGTAGCAATTGAGGATGCTAAATTCATGATAAGATTTGTTATCCTTCCTTTGGTAGGTTGGTTAATATTGATAATTAAATGACTTGGCATTGAGAAGAAGCTATAGGTGCAAATGAGTGGTCTATGACTATTATTGATTTCATTACTGGTAACTTATCTCTATGCATAGAAAACATTAGTGTAACTGGGTCTAATCTAGATGGTGTGCCAGACTCACACTAGAATAAACTCTGGTTTGATGCATATTATGAAGGCTGGAACGCTATAGTTATCGACATAGACACAGAATCAGAACATGACCATGTTACCCTCTGCCATATAATCAGAGAAACTTACTGAAACTAGATATTGGTTCATTGGAGATTCTAGAGGGAAATAGAATGCATCTATAGCTCTAGTATATGAAATAAATATTAGTTTTGTTTATTGGGTGCATCAATACTCAGGACATATTTGGAGAGGAACCTACTCATTCTTCTATGGAGATGACATGCAAGGATTACTTTATAAAAGACATAGAAATATTTTTTCTTCCCACCCCAATTCAAACCATTACCATACAACCTTGTGTCAATAGAAGATAAGGCTGTTGAGGTAGAAATAATTAACGAAAGCTTCACTGGAAGCTAAATGTGAGGATTGACCTGGAAGACACACACTGACAAAGTGGGTGTTTTCCAAAGTCTGTTACAAGTTGGAATGCTTTTGTAAGAAAGGTTAAAAGAAGGGAATGGGACTCCTCCTATCAGTTTGTTTTTAAATTTTCTTTTGTCTTATTGACCTGGCAAGGCTCAAATAGAATTGAGTTTTTGTTTTTGTTTTTTTCCATTGGACGGGACAAGACAGAGGTTACAATCATTGGCTTTAGATGACAACATAACAGGATAAAACGTATTCCTTGCAAGACAACCAGCAAAACTTCATGATCAGAATCAAATCAGCGTCCTTCTCACTGTCAGTGGGTGAAGCCTTCATCAGTAGTTGTGGGGTTTGAGGCACTCATGAACTCATGATCAGACACTTTGCTCAGGGACAGGATGTAAGCCAATCGAAAGACCTTCCCACAGGTGGTTAATTTGGAAGCCTGCCCAATGTGCCCTGCAAGTTTTCACTGGCAATATGCAGGTGCAGATATGACAAGGAATAACCATGGCCTTTACATCACCCCCAGCTGTTGAGGAATGGGATCCTTTTGACCCTTTCTGTCCATAGAACCAGGTTACTCATCTTGTGTGGCAACAAAATATATGGTCTACTTAACAGAGAAGAGGACTCTGTAAAAAAAAAAAAAAAAATGTATTATGAAGTAAGCAAAGAAATGGGAATAGATGTGAGATTATTCGGGGAGATAAAGGAAGTTGAAGGTTTTGAAAGGAAATATAAGGAGGATTATATAAATTGTTTTGAAAGACTCATACTTGGTCATAAGGATCAAAACCAAAGGGGCATCCATGCAATGTTGGATAGATTCATCCTCCACCCACTCAATAACCCCCAACATGTTCAGCAAGTCTTGGTTCACTCCCAGGTTCCCATTAAAAACCCAGCTCAACCCTGACCAGCTCCACCCTCACTTCCATTTGTAATTTTGACATGACTTTATTACAGGACCATCAGGTTCCTATGCCTGCTGCACAGTAGCTTAGCAATATTGTGAGACAGCAGGGTTTGCAGCAGAGAGTTTAATGATCACAGGGTGGCTGAATGAGAAGTTAGGAGGAGATCCTCAAATTCATCACCCCAAGGAGTACTGAGCATTTCCAGTGGATCCTGGATAGCAAGGGACTGGAAAGTTGGGGTAGCGGTAAGAGGGAAGAAGTCAACAGGATCTAGAAACTGCATTCTTTGCGTTAGTGCCTTGCAGGGCCCATTTAGATGAGCTGGCATCAGTAGTTTCACTGACATGCAGAATCTGAAAGAATATGTCAAATGAAAAAAGTTAATGTTTCACAATGCTTAAATTGTTGTCTGCAGGGAAGTTAAGGGGAACTGTAATCTAAGGTCTATATGATTTTGGAACAGTAGGCTGCCAGCAACCATAAGGAACCAGGTCAGAGAGCAAGCTGACCTCCTGATGAATGCTGAATGTGTTGCAAGCTTGGTTTATTTTTGTTTCTCCCCCTCCCTTCTTCACTGATTAAATTGATGAAGTTTATAGTTGTGGTTTCAATTTCTTCCAAAGAAGCCTTAACCTAAGCCCTGAGACCACTCACGCCCTCAGTGGCACCTCTCCTCCACCAGAACGAGCATATAATCTGCTACCTTAGGTTATATAAAATCCCCAAGACCATTCGATAAATTGAGATTTTTATTCTGATTTTGTAGGGATGACTCCTCTGTTTTTATAAAGCTTTTTAAAGTATAAAGCATTTTCATATTTTGATGTGGCCAAAGATCTCCTAACAACACTACTTTCAGATTTTATTTTTCTGTCTAATGTCGGGAACAGATCAAATCCTTCCCTGCCTCACACTCAAGACTATGAAGTTCACATATTAGTAAAGTTCCATCAGTGTTTGTGGAGTTCATGAATGAATTAATTTTTTTATTTTTTGACAGAATGTCCCTCTGTCACCCAGACTGGAGTGCAGTGGCACAATTTTGGCTCACTGCAACCATTGCCTCCTGGGTTCAAGCAATTCTCCTGCCTCAGCCTCCTGAGTCGCTGTGTTTCAGGCACCTGCCATCATGCCGGGCTAATTTTTGTATTTTTGTATTTTTGTAGAGACAGGGTTTCACCTTTTTGTCCTGGCTGGTCTTGAACCCCTGACATCAGGTGATCTACTCACCTTGTCCTTCCAAAGTGCTGGGATTACAGGTATGAGCCACCTCACCTGGCCTTGAATGAATGTATTCTTGACTTCTACCCTATCCCTAACACTGACAATTTCTTGCTTCATGAAGTGAATATAGATATGTGATATGAATGGACATCTGATGCAATCCATTAATCTGGGGAGAGCCAAAAACCCAATCAGGATTAACTGGCTGGAGCTTCAGAAATGCAATCAGATATCACTTTTTGATTGGAAGCTAGCAGCGGATACGTGGAGGGGCGTGGGTGGGAGTTGTGATTAGAAAGGTCAATAAAAGCTTCTAAAGACCCACAGGAGAGACCCAAAGTCTTCAAGTCTGGAGTACCTGCCTGGTTCTTCCTGAGGTCTGAGCACCTTCTAGACTACATCCAGATCTGGTAAGTCACTAATTTCTGTAAGGACACTCCCATCTGACCTACAGTCAGCTGGTCTGGGATGTTGACAGTGCAGCCTACGATGGCACAGAAGTGTATCCTGTCTTTTTTTTTTTTATATGAACAATTTAAAGCTTGAATGTTTTCCTCTAAATACAGCTCTGTCTTTATTTCAAAAAAGTTGATCGTTCTTTGGTTGATGTCGTTTCAAAATTCTTGAAGGGAGCAGTGACTCATGCCTTTAACCCCAACACTTTGGGAGGCCAAAGTGGGAGGATCATTTCAGCCCAGGGGTTTGAGACCAACCTGGGCAACATGACAGAAACCCTCCTCTACACAACGTTATTTTTTTTGTGAGGACGGGGATGGAGTCTCACTGTGTTGCCCAGACTGGAGTGCAGTGGCACGATCTCAACTCACTGCAACCTTTACCTTCCAGGTTCAAGCAATTCTCATGCCTCAGTCTCCATCCTCAGAAGCTGGTGTCAGCCATCTGCCACCATGCCTGGCTAATTTTTGCATTTTTAGTAGAGCGGGTGTTTCACCATGCTGGCCAGGTTGGTCTCCAACACCTGACCTCAAGTGATCCACCTGCCTTGGCCTCCCAAACTGCTGGGATTAGAGCCGTGAGCCACTGGTGCTCGGCCTCTACTTTTTTTTTTTTTAATTAGCCGGGCATGGTGGCATGCATCTGTAGTCCCAGCTATTTGGGTGACTGGTGTGGGAGAATCACTTTAGCCCAGAAGATTGAGGCTGCAGTGAGCCATGCTCACACCACTGCTGTACTCCAGCCTGGGCAAAAGAGAGAGACCCTGTCCAAAAAACAAAAACAAAATCTTAACAAAAAAGGATCTTCGACCTTAATTTTAAACCAATCACATCCTCTCGGTAATTCTTCCACCTGAATGGAGACATGGGTGTGGGGTGCATGCCTGTAATCCCAGCTACGTGGAAGCCTGAAGCATGAGAATTGCTTGAATCTCAGAGGCGGAGGTTACAATGAGCTGAGATGGCGCCGCTGCACTCCAGCATGGGGCAAAAAGTTAGACTCAGCTTCCCCCACACCAAAAAAATTAGATTATACCACCCAGGTGATCACTGGATACATGAAGATTTCTATTGTGTTTTCTTGGGGACTGTCATCTCTGTCTTTGTAAAACGTTTTAACTCTGAAATATTTCGATAAATTTGATGTGGCCAAGGATCCCTCAACAAAGGTACTTTCAAGTTTTTTCTTTTCTCTAATGTCAGGAAGAGATTCAACCCTTCCCTCTCTCACACTCAGGACTTTGAAGGACACATATTAGTAAAACTCCATGTTTATGGAGTGAATCACTGAATGAGTCCTGGACTTTCACCCTATCCCTAATTCTTTCACTTCGATGGATGAATATCTAACTCAATCAGTAAATCTGGAAGAAAGCAAAAAATCCAATCAGGATTAACTGGGTAGAGTTTAAGAAGTCAAATCAAATGTACAAATGTAGTTCTCTCTCTCTCTTTTTTCTTTTTTTTTTTTTTTTTTTTTTGAATCTTGCCTATTTCCCAGGCTGGAGTGCAGTGGTGTATTGTCAATTCACTGCAACCTCTGCCTCCTGGGTTCAAGCGATCCTCCTGCCTCAACCTCCCTGGTAGCTTGGACTATAGGCACAGACCACCGCACCTGGCTAATTTTTGTAATTTTGGTAGAGGTAGGGTTTTACCATGTCGGCCAGGCTTTTCTCAAACTCCTGACCTCAGATAATCCACCTGCCTCTGCCTCCCAAAGTGCTGGGATTACAGGAGTGAGCCACCTCACCTGGCCTTGAATGAATGTATTCTTGACTTCTACCCTATCCCTAACACTGTCAATTTCTTGCTTCGTGAAGTGAATATAGATATGTGATATGAATGGACATCTGATTCAATCCATTAATCTGGGGAGAGCCAAAAACCCAATCAGGATTAACTGGCTGGAGCTTCAGAAATGCAATCAGATATCACTTTTTGATTGGAAGCTAGCAGCGGATACGTGGAGGGGCGTGGGTGGGAGTTGTGACTAGAAACGTCAATAAAAGCTTCTAAAGACCCACAGGAGAGACCCAAAGTCTTCAAGCCTGGAGTTCCTGCCTGGTTCTTCCTGAGGTCTGAGCACCTTCTAAACTACATCCAGATCTGGTAAGTCATTAATTTCTGTAAGGACACTCCCATCTGACCTACAGTCAGCTGGTCTGGGATGGTGACAGTGCAGCCTACGATGGCACAGAGCTATATCCTGTCCTTTTTTTTTTCATATGAACAATTTGAAGCTTTGAATGTTTTCCTCTAAATAGAGTTCTGTCTTTATTTCAAAAAAGTTGATTGTGCTTTGGTTTAGGTCATTTCAAAATTCTTGAAGGGAGCAGTGACTCATGCCTTTAACCCCAACACTTTGGGAGGCCAAAGTGGGAGGATCATTTCAGCCCAGGGGTTTGATACCAACCTGGGCAACATGACAAAAACCCTCCTCTACACAACGTTTTTTTTTTTTTGAGGATGGGGATGGAGTCTCGCTGTGTTGCCCAGACTGGAGTGCAGTGGCACGATCTCAACTCACTGTAACCTTTACCTCCCAGGTTCAAGCAATTCTCATGCATCAGTCTCCATACAGAGAAGCTGGTATAACAGTCATCTGAAACCATGCCTGGCTAATTTTTGTATTTTTAGTAGGGGCGGGGGTTTCACCATGCTGGCCAGTTTGGTCTCAAACGCCTGACCTCAAGTGATCCACCTGCCTTGGCCTCCCAAAATGCTGGGATTAGAGCCATGAGCCACTGGTGCTTGGCCTCTACTTTTTTTTTTTTTTTAATTAGCTGGGCATGGTGGCATGCATCTGTAGCCCCAGCTATTTGGGTGGCTGGTGTGGGAGAATCACTTTAGCCCAGAAGATTGAGGATGCAGTGAGCCATGCTCACACCACTGCTGTACTCCAGCCTGGGCAAAAGAGAGAGACCCTGTCCAAAAAACAAAAGCAACATCTTAACAAAAAAGGATCTTTGACCTTAATTTTAAAGCAATCACATCCTCTTCCACCCAAATGGAGACATGAGTGTGGGGGTGCATGCCTGTAATCCCAGCTACGTGGAAGACTGAAGCATGAGAATTGCTTGAATCTTGGAGGCTGAGGTAACAGTGAGCCGAGATGGCACCACTGCACTCCAGCCTGGGCAACGAAGTGAGACTCAGCTCCCTCAACACCAAGAAGAATTATGCCACCCAGGTAATCACTGGATATATGAAGATTACTATTGTGTTTTCTTAGGAACTGTCATCTCTGTCTTTGTAAAACTGTTTTAACTCTGAAATATTTTGAGAAATTTGATGTGGCCAAGGATCCCTCTACAGATACTTTCAAGTTTTCTTTCTTTCTGTCTAATATCAGGAAGAGATTCAACCCTTCCCTGTCTCACACTCAGGACTGTGAAGGACACATATTAGTAAAACTCCACGTTTGTGGAGTGAATCAGTGAATGAGTCTTGGACTTTCACCCTATCCCTAAATCTTTCATTTTGATGGATGAATATCTAATTCAATCAGTTAATCTGGAAGAAAGCCAAAAATCCAATCAGGATTAACTGGGTAGAGATTAAGAAGTCTAATCAAATGTAGCTCTCTCTGTCTCTCTTTTGAATCTAGCCTATTTCCCAGGCTGGAGTGGAGTGGTATAATGTCAGCTCACCGCAACTTCTGCCTCCTGGGTTCAAGTGATCCTCCTGCCTCAGCCTCCCTAGTAGCTTGGACTACAGGCGCAGACCACTGCACCTGGCTAATTTTTGCTGGCTTAGTAGAGGTAGGGTTTTACCATGTTGGCCAGGCTCGTCTTGAACTCCTGATCTCAGATGATCCACCTGCCTTGGCCTCACAAAATGCTCAGATTACGGGTGAGTCACTGCACCCAGCCAAAGTGGTTGATTTTGAATATGTGCGAGAGGTGTGTATTGGAATCATCTATCTTGCGAATGATGCATAACAGTGTCACATAGCTTTCAAAGCTTCTCACTGAAATATTCGATAATAAGGCTGGAGTGGAGGCTCACAACTATAATCCCGGTACTTTGGGAGGCCAAGGGGGGTGGATTGCTTGAGACTAGGAGTTCAAGACCAGCTTGGACAACATAGTGAAATCCACTGTCTTTACAAAAAGTCAAAACATAAAAGATGAGCTGGGTGTGGTGATGCATAACTGTGGTCCCAGCTACTTGGGAGGCTGAGGAGGCTTGGGAGGCTGGGAAGTCAAGGCTGCAGTGAGCCAAGATCCCACCACTGCACTCCAGGCTGGGTAACAGAGCAAGACCCTGTCAGAAAGAGTGAGGGAGAGAGGGAGGGAGAGAGAGAATGAGAGAAGGGATGCAGGGAAAGAAGACAAGAAAGAAAGAAGGGAGAGAGAGGGGGGAAGAAAGAAAGAAGGGAGGGAGAGAGGGAAAGAAGGAAAGAAGAGAGAGAAAGAGAAGGAAACCTTAAATAAAGAAAAGAAAACAAATAGAACCTGTTCTAGGGATGCCCCATGAATGTTCCCAACAAGCTTATTTGTAGGAACTGAAATTGTGGGCATGTAGGCTTGTGACACTCCCTTTCCCATTGTTTTAGAACCTTGAGTAATTAGTAATTTCCCCCAATGGTCGGAGGGGTTTGCTTTCAGGTTCCTCCACACTCACTAGTCACTGGATGGAGCACTGGATAGAAAGGAAGGGCTAGTTGTGGCCCTGCCTCCTCACTGCTTCGGAGACGCTCATGCTGATGCAGCAGAGGCAGAATGCTGGCTTAATGGCCACTGAGTACTGAGTAGAATTGGAGTAAACTGAGGGCTGTTTCACCATTGCCAAAGCAGTGACTTTGGCCCTGGGAGAAGATGAGATTGCATGGGCTTGTCCTGAGAGTGATGCCTTTTCTCTGGGTTTGTCCTCTGGAAGTTTTCCCTGCAGATTCATGAAGATGAGCATCCGGACTCCACCCAGACTCCTGGAGCTGGCGGGGCGGAGCGTGCTGAGGGACCAAGCCTTGGCCATGTCCACCCTGGAGGAGCTGCCCACAGAACTTTTCCCCCCACTGTTCATGGAGGCCTTCAGCAGGAGACGCTGTGAGGCCCTGAAGCTGATGGTACAGGCCTGGCCCTTCCGCCGCCTCCCTCTGAGGCCTCTGATAAAGATGCCTTGTCTGGAGACCTTCCAAGCTGTGCTCAATGGGCTTGATGCACTGCTTACCCACGGGGTTCGTCCCAGGTGAGGTGGGCCAGGTGGGCTGGTGGGGAGGGCCCAGGTGTCCAACCGAAGGAACAGCTGGGTCATGAGAAGTGAGGAGGCCCAAGGGGCGATGGTGGTGGTGAGGAAGCTGAGAGGCCTTGGCCATTCACCAGCTCCTCAGGGAAAGCACTGCTGACCATGCCAGGTCCATGGAGGTAACAGGAACCTCTCCCCTAATGGCACTGAAAGCCAGCATGAAAAGTGAGAACTGGGCCGGGCACGGTGGCTCACAATGTATTCCCAGCACATTGGGAGGCCGAGGTCAAGAGTTGGAGGCCAGCCTGTCCAACATGGTAAACCCCAACTCTACTAAAAATACTAAAATTAGCTGGGCATGGTGCTGGGCTCCTGTAATCCCAGCTACTTGCAAGGTTGAGGCAGGAGAATCCTTTGAACCGGGGAAGCAGAGGTTGCAGTGAGGTGACATCACACCACTGCACTCCAGCCTGGGTGACAGAAGGAGACTTGGTCTCAAAAAAAAAAAAAAAAAAAAAAATGTGAAAGTGGGCAGGATCCAAGGGGAAAACAGGGTGGAGAAATGTCAGAGACAGGGACAAGAAGCAGGGAGGGGAGGAGCTGCTATCCAGGATGTGGAGTTTAAGTTCAGAAATGAGTTCTGAAATTCTCAGTCTCACCTCTATTTTCCCACAGGAGGTGGAAACTTCAAGTGCTGGATTTACAGGATGTCTGTGAGAACTTCTGGATGGTTTGGTCTGAAGCTATGGCCCGTGGGTGCTTCCTCAATGCCAAGAGGAACAAAAAACCAGTGCAGGACTGTCCAAGGATGAGAGGACGGCAGCCCTTGACTGTGTTCGTAGAACTTTGGCTCAAGAACAGGACTCTGGATGAACACCTCACCTGCCTCCTTCTATGGGTCAAGCAGAGGAAAGATTTACTACACCTGTGCTGTAAGAAGCTGAAAATTTTGGGAATGCCCTTCCGCAATATCAGAAGCATCCTGAAAATGGTGAACCTAGACTGTATCCAGGAGGTGGAAGTGAATTGCAAGTGGGTACTGCCCATCCTGACACAGTTTACCCCATACCTGGGCCACATGAGGAATCTTCAGAAGCTCGTTCTCTCCCACATGGATGTCTCTCGCTACGTTTCCCCAGAGCAGAAGAAGGAGATTGTTACCCAGTTCACCACTCAGTTCCTCAAGCTGCACTGCCTCCAAAAGCTTTATATGAACTCTGTTTCTTTCCTCGAAGGCCACCTGGACCAGCTGCTCAGGTGAGGGAGGGTGGTGAGCTTTCTCTGCAGACCACAGCAGAGCCTGTTTCACTAAACGCTAGTGGGCATCTACTGTGAGCCAGCCTATGAGGATGAAACAGTGAAGGGGACACTAGAATGTCCATACATTGTCCTGTTGGCGGCCCTGTCCTGAAATGGGTATCATGCAACCATCCCAATAGAGGCAGAGGGATCAGCTAGGGGAGATGCTATAGAGAGGTTGCCATACTAGGAAGCTAGCTACTGGGGGGTTCAGATCTAGTGAGGGTGCCTTTCTGAATTCTTCCTGAGGACGTGTGTCTAAGTTAAGATGATGAAAAATAGGCCAGGGACGGTGGCTCATGCCTGTAATCCTATCACTTTGGGAGTCTGAGGCAAGAGGATAGCTTGAGCCTAGGAGTTTAAGACCAGTCTGGGTAACATCCCAAGACCCCTGTCAGAAATGAAGAAATAAAAGTAAAAACAAACAAGATAACTTTTTTTTTTTCTGAGATGGATTTTCACTATGATCGTCCAGGCTAGAGTGCAGTTGTGACATCTCAGCTCGCAGCAACTTCTGCCTCCCAGGTTCAAGCGATTCTCCTGCCTCAGCCTCCTCAGTGCCTGGGATTACAGGCGTGGGCCACCACACCTGGCTAATTTTTATATTTTAAGTAGAGACAGGGTTTCACCATGTTGGCCAGGATATTCTCCAACTCCTGACTTCAGGTGATCCGCCCACCTTGGACTCCCAAAGTGCTGGGATTATAGGCGAGAGCTACCACGCCCAGCCAACAAGATAATTTTTAAGAAGATGATGGGAAGTAGGGAAGTGAAGTGGTCACTGAAGAGGGGAATGCTCAGCAAATCTGCACATGTCAGAAAATCAGCTTTGTGCCCCACAGTTCCGTGAACATGAATGATCCCATCTCTAATTCCCTGTTGTAAAAGTTTCTTTTGAGCTCCAGGTAAATTAATTACCTAGGAAATGTATGATTCTGAAACAGAGGGTCAGGGAGCAGGCACAAAGAATGGTGAAAGTGATAGATGGTTTGCTGATGATACAGGCGTGTCAGGGACGCCTGCAGCCCGCCCACCCCAGCTGATGTTGCAGGATCCTGTCTGGGTTTGTCCTTTATGCCTGCATCTCCACTGGGCTTCTGTGGCCCAGGGATGTGGTTTTCTGCCTGACAGATGAGGAAAGGGAGCTTTAGGGATTCTGTGAACTTGATCCATTCCTATAAATGATGGTGAAATGACTCAGCCTCAAATGGAATTATTTTTTCTCCTTTTTTTTTTTTAATACAGAGTCTCTCTCTGTCACCCAGGCTGGAGTGTAGTGGCATGATCTCTGCTCACTGCAACCTACACCTCCTGGGTTCAAGCGATTCTTCTGCCTCAGCTTCCCAAGTAGCTGGAATTGCAGGCTCCCGCCACCACAGCTGGCTAATTTTTGGATTTTTAGTAGAGAGGAGGTTTTGCCATGTTCAGCAGGCTGGTCTCAAACTCCTGATCTCAAGGAATCCACCAGTCTCAGCCTCCCAAAGTTCTGGGATTACAGGTGTGAGTTACTGGGCCGGGCCTAAAGTGGAATTGACCTCGGTGGCAAAGCTCTTCATCACACATCATCCGAAGTGTTGACCATCCGGCCATGAGAATGATCCTGGACTTGGGCAAAATGGTCTCCATCCATTACCTTGAAGCCATTCCCCACCACCCTCCACTCACCCCTATGATTCCCCAGAATTAACTTCTTGCTCTCTCTCCACAGCTGTCTGAAGACCTCGTTAAAGGTCCTCACAATAACTAACTGTGTGCTTTTGGAATCAGACTTGAAGCATCTATCCCAGTGCCCGAGTATCAGTCAACTAAAGACCCTGGACCTGAGTGGCATCAGACTGACCAATTACAGTCTTGTGCCTCTCCAAATTCTCCTAGAAAAAGTTGCAGCCACCCTTGAGTACCTGGATTTAGATGACTGTGGCATCATAGACTCCCAAGTCAACGCCATCCTGCCTGCCCTGAGCCGCTGCTTTGAGCTCAACACCTTCAGCTTCTGTGGAAATCCCATCTCCATGGCCACCCTGGAGAACCTGCTGAGCCACACAATCATACTCAAAAACTTATGCCTGGAGCTGTATCCTGCCCCACGGGAGAGTTATGGTGCTGATGGTACTCTCTGCTGGAGCAGATTTACTCAGATTAGGGCTGAGCTGATGAAGAGAGTTAGGGACTTAAGGCACCCCAAGAGGATCTTGTTCGGTACTGACTACTGCCCTGACTGTGGCAACAGGTCATTTTATGACCTGGAGGCAGATCAATACTGCTGTTGAATGCCTGCCTATTTGGATGGGTATGTCAAACGCTTTCTTCTGGACACTTGGAAACTAAAACCTAGGTCTTAGGTACATCCTAAAGGGAGCACAGAACCCATCGTTTCACACATGGGCTCTGAAAGTGGGAAAGGAATGCTGATCAAGCAGGGGCAGGACTTGGGGGAAATGTTGCCATGGATTCGATGGGACTTTGGGAACGTGTATCCTGTAGAGTCGAAAATGGGAATCTGAATGTCTAGAGTGGAATTCAGGCTTGAGAATACATGAGGGAGTTACTCTTGCATGGATGGTTGTAAAGAAACAATCAGAAATAAAGGAAAACTGAGCAGAATCTGTCTGGTGCCCTCTATTATTAAGTAACCTGTTTTCCAGTTTAAGCCTCAGGAATCTTCAGTTATTGATGGAAAAAACAAAAGGCACTGACTGAGTTGTCCAATCAATAAGATGCAGCCCAAGAAAATCAAGGCATTTAAATGAAATTTGGTTATTGTAATCAGTTTCCTCCCATTCTTTTATTGGAGACAGAGTTTCACTCTTGTTGCCCAGGCTGGAGTTTAGAGTGCAATGGTGCCATCTCAGCTGACTGCAACCTCCACCTGGGGTTTAAATGATTCTCCTGCCTCAGCCTCCCAAGTAGCTGGGATTACTGGCATGCACCACCGTGCCCAGCTAATTTGTGTATGTTTAGTAGAGACAGGGTTTCCTCACTATGTTGGTCAGGCTGGTCTCAAACTCCTGACTTTGGGTGATTCATGCAAGTAGGCCTACCAAAATGCTGGGATTACAGGTGTGAGCCACTGTGTCAGGCTTTTGCTTTTGTTTTTGTTTTTTAAAGGTCTTCTGTCACTCAGGCTACAGTGCAGTGGCACAATCATACCTCACTGCAGCCTCAATTTCCTGGGTTCAGGCGATCTTCCCACCTCAGCCTCCTGAGTAGCTAGGACTACAGCTGTGTGAGCCACCACACCTGGATACTTTTTTTTAGTAGAAACAAGGCCTCGCTGTCTTCCCCAGGCTGATCTGGAACTCCTGAGCTTGTGATTCTCCTGCCTTGGCCTCCCAAAATGCAGGGAGTATAGGCGTGGACCACCACGCTTGGCTTGGCCTCCTCCAGTTCTTCACTTCTTTAGATGTCTGTTAAATCCTTGTTAGTTTCTGTGGCTGTTCAGTGGGTTAATACACACCAGGTGGACACCAAAGGCCTGGAACATTACTGGGCAAGAACAGTGAGCCAATCCACACGGAAAGCACCTTCTTCTCAGGGTCTTTCACCGCTAGCCAGATGCTGAGACCCTGCCCACTCCCTGTGAGTCTCCACATGCTTCCAGAAGCCTTAGTTGGTGGATGTCAGCTGCACTGCACAAGGACCCACTCTCTTCTCGCTGCCCTGGAAGGGTATGTCCATATTGTGTATTAGCTGGAGACTCTGGGCAGCACCAAACCTTGCTTGTTCCCCTGATGACCAGCAGCCCTTCTTGAATTAAACTGGTTGTAGCCAGTAAAGACAGCCACATTCCCTTTAAGTAAAATACTAAAACTATACAGGCATGTAACACTTTTTAAATATTTCCATCTGACATTTTAAAAGTTACATCTTTTTGGGGAGCTAGGTCAGATTGATGAGAGATTTTCTCATAACACTTTCCCTCTCTCCCTATGAAGGAAGAGACTAGTGCAGCGTGTTCTGGAATCTGACAGCATCAAAGGGTGGATAACGATCAAGGGCCTGTGGGTGATGAGTGACCTTCCCTGTGCTGAGGAAGCCTGCATAGCGGGCATCCAAGTGAAGGATCCTGCTGAGTACTCAGGGGCTGGTGTTGCTGTCAGGGATGTTAGCCAAGAGCCTCAGCTTCCTGTAAAATGAGGATGATGATGTCCAACAGCTTATGGGACCTAGGTAGGATCCAATGAGATGGTTCATGTTTAGGGCTTGGCATGGGGTCTGGCATACAGTAAGATCAATACATCTTGTTCTTTTTTCTCTTCTCAGCAGAAGTCCCAGCATTTTTCATCTTTCAATCTCACCTCCTTTTCCTGATAATAGAGAGGCAACAAGAACTCAGGGCATGCAATGGGGCTCAACTTCTACTCTCTGCCACAATTTCATCATGATTCCCCCAAAGAGCAGAGCCCCAGGAGCCAGCAGGGGGCAGGGTGGGCATTTCTGGACTGGATTCATTCATAATAAGATCAAAATTTCCAATCCGTATGTCTCGGGTGCCATCTGCTGATAGATCCGACCAGATGGTATAATTGAGTGTTGCAAGGATTATATTTTATGGTGTTTTTAAAAATGTACTATTATGAGCCAGGTGCAGTGGCTCACGCCTGTAATTCCAGCACTTTGGGAGGCTGAGGCAGGTGGATCACCTGAGGTTGGGAGTTTGAGACCAGCCTGAGCAACATGAAGAAACCCCTTCTCTACTTAAAATACAAAAAATTAGCCAGGCGTGGTGGCGCACGTCTGTAATTGCAGCTACTCGATAGGCTGAGGCGGGAGAATCGTTTGAACCTGGGAGGTGGAGGTTGCGGTGAGCTCAGACTGAGCCATTGCACTCCAGCCTGGGCAACAGTAGCAAAAGTCCGTCTCAAAAAAAAAAAGATAAAATAAAATTTATTATTATGGCCGGGCATGGTGTCTCACACTTCTAATCCCAGCACTTTGGGAGGCCAAGGCAGCCTCGGGATTTTGAGACCAGCCTTGCCAACATGGTGAAACCCCGTCTCTACTAAAAATACACAAAATTTGCTGGGAGTGGTGGCATTCGCCTGTAATCCCAGGTATTCAGGAGGCTGGGGCAGGACAATCACTTGAACCCGGGAGGCGAAGGTTGCAATGAGACAAGATCGCGCCACTGCACTCCAGCCTGGGTGACAGAGCATGAAAAAAAATTTACTATAATGTGAATACTATTAGAGTACAAATATTTGTGTTGTAATTTATGTACATGAAAGATTAGAACTTTTAAAGAATGCAACGTGATATGTTAAGAATGGTTAATGGCCAGGTGTGGTGGTTCATGCCTGTATTCCTGGCACTTTGGGAGGCCGAGGTGGGCAGATCACGAGGTCAGGAGTTCCAGACCAGCCTGGCCAACATGATGAAACCCCGTCTCTACGAAAAATACAAAAAATTAGCCTGGCGTGGTGACAGGCGCCTGTAATCCCAGATAGTCAGGAGGCTGAGGCAAGAGAATCGCTTGAACCTGGGAGGCAAAGGTTGCAGTGAGCCGAGAATGCACCACTGCACTCCAGCCTGGGTGAAAGAGGAAGACTCCGTCTCAAGGAGGGTGAGAAAAAGAATACTTAACTTGGTTTGAAATGTCAAAACAAATGAGATTTTAAAAACTAATTTTAAAGACACTGAACAATAATCATTTCTTCTTTAAAATATATTTAGAATAATACAATTTTAGCTTTGAAAGGAAACATTACAGTTTTTAAAAATATTGAGTTTATTTTATTTTATTTTATTTTATTTGGAGACAAAGTCTCACTCTGTCGTCCAGATTGGAGTGCAGTGGCATGATCACGGCTTACTGCAGCCTTGACCTCCTAGGCTCAGGTGATCTC